>NC_000004.12:111800168-111951684 GCF_000001405.40 Homo sapiens | reverse complement strand
AGGCCAGCATCATCCTGATACCAAAACCGGCAGAGACACAACAACAAAAAAGAAAATTTCAGGCCAATATCCCTGATGAACATCGATGCGAAAATCCTCAATAAAATACTGGCAAACTGAATCCAGCAGCACATCAAAGAGCTTATCCACTACGATCAAGTCAGCTTCATCCCTGGGCCACAAGAGTGGTTCAACATATGCAAATCAATAAATGTAATCCATCACATAAACAGAATCAATGACAAAAACCACATGATTATCTCAATAGATGCAGAAAAGGCCTTCGATAAAATTCAACACTCCTTTATGCTAAAAACTCTCAATAAACTAGGTATTGATGGAACATATCTCAAAATAATAAGAGCTATTTATGACAAACCCACAGCCAATATCATACTGAATGGGCAAAAGCTGGAAACATTCCCTTTGAAAACCGGCACAAGACAATGATGCTCTCTCTCACCACTCCTATTCAACATAGTATTTGGAAGTTCCGGCCAAGGCAATCAGGCAAGAGAAAAAAATAAAGGGTATTCAAATAGGAAGAGAGGGAGTCAAATTGTCTCTGTCTGAAGATGACATGATTGTATATTTAGAAAACCCCATCATCTCAGCCCAAAATCTCCTTAAGGTGATGAGCAACTTCAGCAAAGTCTCAGGATACAAAATCAATGTGCAAAAATAACAAGCATTCCTATACACCAATAATAGACAAACAGAGAACCAAATCATGAGTGAACTCCCATTCACAATTGTTACAAAGAGAATAAAATACCTAGGAATCCAACTTACAAGGGATGTGAAGGACCTCTTCAAGGAGAACTACAAACCACTGTTCAAGGAAATGAGAGGATACAAACAAATGGAAAAACATTCCATGCTCATGGATAGGAAGAATCAATATCATGAAAATGGCCATACTGTCCAAAGTAATTTATGGATTTAATGCTATCCCCATCAAGCTACCATTGACTTTCTTCACAGAATTAGAAAACACTACTTTAAATTTCATATGGAACCCAAAAAGAGCCTATATAGGGAAGACAATCCTAAGCAAAAAGAACAAAGCTGGAGGCATCATGCTACCTGACTTCAAACTATACTCCAAGGCTACAGTAACCAAAACAGCATGGTACTGGTACCAAAACAGATAGACCAACGGAACAGAACAGATGCCTTAGAAATAACACCACACATCTACAACCATCAATTTTTGACAAATGTGACACAAACAAGCAATGGGGAAAGGATTCCCTATTCAATAAATAGTGTTGGGAAAACTGACTAGTCACATGCAAAAAACTGAAGCTGGACCCCTTCCTTACACCTTATACAAAAATTAACTCAAGATGGATTAAAGACTTAAACATAAGACCTAAAACCTTAAAAACCCTAGAAGAAAACCTAGGCAATACCATTCAGGACATAGGCATGGGCAAAGACGTCATGACTAAAACACCAAAAGCAATGGCAACAAGAGCCAAAGTTGACAAATGGGATCTAATTAAACTAAAGAGCTTCTGCACAGCAAAAGAAACTATCATCAGAGTGAACAGGCAACCTACCAAATGGGAGAAAATTTTTGCAATCTATCTATCTAACAAAGGGCTAATATCTAGAATCTACAGGGAACTTAAACAAATTTACAGGAAAAAAACAAAAAAACCCATCAAAAAGTGGGCAAAGGATATGAACGACACTTCTTAAAATAAGACATTTATGCAGCTAACAAACGTACGAAAAAAAGCTCATCATCACCGGTCATTAGAGAAATGCAAATCAAAACCACAATGAGATACCATCTCACACCAGTTAGAATGGCGATCATTAAAAAGTTGGGAAACAACACATGCTGGAGAGGATGTGGAGAAGTAGGAATGCTTTTACACTGTTGGTGGAAGTGTAAATTAGTTCAACCATTGTGGAAGACAGTGTGGCAATTCCTCAAGGATCTAGAATCAGAAATACAATTTGACCCAGCAATGGGATTGCTGGGTATATACCCAAAGGATTATAAATCATTATACTATAAAGACATATGCACACGTATGTTTATTGCGGCACTATTCACAATAGCAAAGACTTGGAAACAATGCCAATGCCCATCAGTGATAGACTAGATAAAGAAAATGTGGCACATATACACCATGGAATACTATGCAGTCATAAAAAAGGATGAGTTCATGTCCTTTGCAGGGACATGGATGAAGCTGGAAACCATCACAAGAAGAGAAAACCAAACATCGCATGTTCTCACTTGTAAGTTGGAGTTGAACAATGAGAACACATGGACACAGGGAGGGGAACATCACACACCAGGGCCTGTCAGGGGGTGGGGGGCTAGGGGAGAGATAGCATTAGGAGAAATGCCTAAGGTAAATGTCAGGTTGATGAGTGCAGAAAACCACCATGGCATGTGTATACCTATGTAACAAACCTGCATGTTCTGCACATGTATTCCAGTACTTTATTATAATAAAGTATAAGATGTATATTAAAGTATAACATGTATTCCAGTACTTTTATTATACTAAAGTATAATAGAAAAATAAAAATATAAGAAATAAAATCAAAGAAGGTAGAAAAAAAGATAATAAAAAAAGAAATGGCTATAGTCTTAAAGTTTTATTTTGAAACAAGGCAACTATCTTTGCCCGTACTTATTTCTTCATTCATTTAACACATGTCAAACTGGTCACTAGACGAGGAATTAAGGATTCAACGATGAACTTGACGTATGACTTGTTTTTAGAAAACTTGTAGGAGTTGATGATGCAGCAACAATCTGAAAATTTATTGATGTGGGGGAAAAATAGACCTTATTTAAGGCAATGTTTCTCATTCTTTATCTAATCACTATACAAGAGAATTATAATGTTTGAAATGCATGCTGGGATAATCTGCAGAGAATTTATGGTGATAATAAGAAAATACAGAGTAGAATAGAAGAAAATCAATATTTAATTGGCATAAAATTTAAATATTTAATTTGCATAAATATCTAGATATAATTTTTTGAGAAATTTTAGTAAGATTTTAAAATGATCTCTTCAAATTCTTAGTAATAATAACTGATGATAAATTATTTGCATAAATAGCAGAATATTTTAAATATATTTTTACCATTAAAATTTAAAACAGTTGAAAATATTATCTAAGAATCTAAAAGTTTTAATTTTCTTTCTGTGACAGATGTAATATCAAAATATCCTGTGATAATGTAAACAGATGTAGAATTTAATTGGAATTTTTCATATCAAATATTTAAAATAATGAAAATGTAATCTGTAGAAATGCATTAGTAATTAAAAGAGTTACCCTGTTACTCACTTCCATACTACTAAAGGGCATATAAGCATCATCAAAGAGAAGTATCCAACAAATGTGAAGGTTGGAGGCCACTGCCTGAGACATGCTTGCCAGCCTCCTGCTCAGCGTACCAGCCAACCCTTTGCAGCTGTACCTTGACCTATATATGCTATGCTCTCTGGGCACCTGGAACAGGAATGCTACCAGTAGCTCTGTGAGCTTCTGCCTATGATGCGCAGCAGTGCACAGTGTGCCTTGTTACTGGCCATTAAGTAGTTGTTCAGATAATATGGCATACTTGACTGTATGTAATATGTCCATCATAGAACAGCAAATGGCTGGATGCCCCTCTTGGTTTTTGCTGCCCGTGAGGACCATGCAACACACCATCAATCTTTAGTCTGCTGGAGCAGCCCTTTGTTGTTGTTGTTGTTTTTTGTTTTTGTTTTTGTTTTTGTTTTGAGATGGAGTCTCACTCTGTCACCCAGGCTGGAATGCAGTGGTGCGATCTCAGCTCACTGCAACCTCCGCCTCCCAGGTTCAAGCAATTCTCTGCCTCAGCCTCCTGAGTAGCTGGGATTACAGGCGCCCACCACCACTCCCAGCTAAGTTTCGTATTTTTTTTTTTTTTTTAGTAGAGACAGGGTGTCACCATCTTGTCCAGGCTGGTCTTGAACTCCTGAGCTCATGATCCACCTGCCTTGGCCTCCCAAAGTGCTGGGATTACAGACATAAGCCACCGCGCCCGGCCTGGAGCAGCCCTTTGAAGAGCCCTTTGAAGAGCTCATGCCTGGAGGTAATTGGCCTAGGTAATCTGGACAATCCAGACTCTCTGCTGATCTAAGAGTTGATGGGAGTGATAGAGTCATTGCACGCCCATAATCTATTTGCAGCATATTGGTTGGATACTTGCAGCCAAATGCATTCTGTATTGATGCAGGAAGTTATCTTAAAAAAAGAAAGTATTGCACCACGAAATTAGAAATTTAAGAAGCAACCTCTCTAGTAATTTGGGATTATATGAAAATTTATGTTTTTACAAAATAAAAATTACATTACATCAAGTTTTTCCAAAGTTTCATAGATTTTTTCAGTGCCTTAAGAACTCATGCTTTACCTGCACCATCTGCACATGTACCCCAGAACTTAAAATAAAATTAAAAACATAAAAAAACAGAACTCATACTTTTTGAAAGGAGGCAGAATTTAAGTCTATCTTTGCTTTTTTTTTTGTTTTTGGTGACTCCAGCGTTTTTAATGTAAATTCAGCAAATCGTTCTCAGTGCTGGGTGAGTTGTCACTTTATGGAGGCCCATGGGCTGGGCCAGTCTCTGCCCTTTTACAAAGACAATTACAAAACATGTACCATCTGACATCCACCCAGAGGAAATTGAGAAAGACATGGGCAACTCACCCTCTGGACCTAGTGCATCTAGGTTGTCAATATTTAGTAATGCCCTCTCAGAAGCTAGGTGTATTAGTCAGGGTTCTCCAGAGAAACAGAACCAATAGGCTGTATATGTATAAAATGTACACATATATACATACATATCTATATGCCCATATATAGATTTTTACATATATGGATATATATACGTATCTATACAGGTATCTATCTATATTGAAATAAATATTTTAGGGAGTTGGCTTATGTGATTGTGGAAGCTGGACAGTCCAAAGTGTATAAAGTAGGCAAGCAAGCCAGAAGCTCAGGGAAAAGTTGATACCGCAGTTTGAATCCAAAGGCAGTCTACTGACAGAGTTCCCTTTTTCTCAGGTGACATCAGTTTTTTTCTGAAAACCTTTAGCTGATTGGATGAGACCCACCACATTATGGAGGGTAATTTGCTTTACTCAAAGTCAGCTGATTTAAATTGCTTCACAGCCATATCCAGATGTGTTTGATCAAGTATGTGGGTCTCTGGCCTAGCCAAGTTGACCCATAAAAATAACCATTACCCTAGACCAGGTACTACTCCTTCCTTCTTTTTTTTTTTTTTTTTTTTCAAGACGGAGTCTCACTCTGTCACCCAGGCTGGAGTGCAATGGTGCGGTCTCGGCTCACTGCAACCTCTGCCTCCTGGGTTCAAGCGATTCTCCCGCCTCAGCCTCCTGAGTAGTTGGGACTATAGGTGCGTGCCATCACACCTGGCTAATTTTTGTATTTTTAGTAGAGATGGGGTTTCACTATGTTGGCCAGGCTGGTCTCAAACTCCTGAACTCGTGATCCTCCTGACCTCATGATCCACCTGCCTCAGACTCCCAAAGTGCTGGGATTACAGGCGTGAGCCACTGTGCCTGGTCTACTCCTTCCTTTAAGTAGTTACTAACCTGAGTGAGCCATGCAGACAAGGCCCAGGTTTAATCCAAAACTTCAGTAGCTTTCTCCTAAATATGAACAACTAGATCTTACATTTCCCAGGGGAAACAAGCAAGGTTTAGTTTTCCCTCATATCCTCCCTATTATTGCTAACAGTAGACACTCTCCATTCTTCAACCAGGAAGTCACTTTCCTAAAAGTCTTCACAGTTCTTGGTTGCCCACCAGGATTTAATAACATGATCTCACAGCTTTTCTAAAGATGTGATGAGTCAAAATAGAATGAAATTTTATCTTGTAGCTCAGCAGCTACAGAGAAACAAATTGGCATGGCAACCAAAATTTAATGACGGCCTTTAGGGACATCATATAATGATTTAGCCTTGGTTGAGCTTCGTAGCCTCTCAAAACTGGTCCACTTATGTACAAAGTTGGAATTTGGTCATGTCTTCTTGATGATGCAACAACTTAGCTAGTTAGATGAGAAACATCCCCCTTCCAGTTAAAGAAATCAGGGCCACCACATGGGTATTGCATTCAGATACTTTCTCTCAAATTAGTTGAATAGTAGACGTCAAATGTGCAGAATAAAATAGGTAACGTTTGTTAAATGCTTAACACATGCCACACTTAGTTCCAAGTGCCTTACATGAATTAGGTATTTTAATTCTTACAGAACACTAATAGTAAGATCCAATTATCCCCATTATATAGATGGGGCATCTGGAGGAAAGGAAAGCCCTGTAGATCTCTGAAGGCCATACAGCTAGTTAGTGACAGAGCAAGGACTCACATCTAAAGAGCTTGGCTTTAGAGTCTGCTCTAAACCACAGCACTGTCCTGGGTGCTGAATAAAAGAAGCGACTTATAGTATGCTCAGAGAAGAGCTCTCAGACTGCCAGGTCTGGAGTCATGGAGCCATGTTACTGGAGAGTAAACAGTGGCTGGCATTTTAAAAAAAGAATATATTGGAGTGAACAAGCCCCAGAAGGTATCTACCAAAAATAATTGCACTAGAAATGAACACTGATCAACTTTGTAAGTAGAGAACTGGTTTATGGTCCTCATATTAAAAACCAGCTTTTTGGTGTTCTCACATGGTATGAAAAGAACCGAAGTACAGAGAAGAGGTTTTTTGTTTTTTTTTAAAAAAAAAAAACATGGGCAGTGCAAAGAGACAAGGGAACCTGAATGCACCAGAGTAGAGGCCACATTTTTGCTGAGAATTTTTACCCATTTTTATGGAGGAGCTAATTTGAAATTTATATTTGAGCCTTACTGTACCTGTATTATAGTTTTAGTATATACATATTATTACACTCAAATTATGTATGTAATTGTATATATTCATAGATCTCATTCAATATCATAGTTTGAGTGATTACTCAATAATTCCCTTTATTTTCTTTCTGAAACCTGAATTAAAGAATAGTTTGAGCTATTGTGCCTTGAGCTGCTCATCTGGATTGAGCAGACTCTGCCTTGATTATCAGGGTCATGATGCAGATGCTGATTGTGGTTGGTTTGCCAAGCTTCACCTTTCTCATGATAACGCCGGGGTGTGCTGGCTGAAGTCGGTGTTCTTCACAGAAATTTCGCTGTGGTTGTCTTCCCTCTGATTAATGCAGTAAGTGGCCTCCACAGGGCCTAGCTCATGGACATTGTGTCTCTCTCTGTTTTGATAGAAATATAAATTTGAGTGCTCTTGAAAAAAAATCCTGATATCTGAAGTATGAGGAGGGGTGATTAGAAGGAGGAGCAACAGCAAGAGCTGTTGAGCTGTTTGAATACATTGGCAGAAAAGATTAAAAAAGAAAACTTATCTGCAATACCGATTATGTGGATAAGTCTTCAGAATGATTTAGACACGTTGGAGTGATCAGGCCGTCACGAGCTTGGCTGTGGTTATAAGATGCTCACTCTTCTTTTTTTACATTCCTGGCTGAGGTTCAAAATTTAGAGAGGTGGCAGGCTGAGGCCCCACGCAGCTGTCAGCATCTCTGTGGGCAGCTGAGACGGCACAGGGCCCACACATGGTCATGAGTGAGGCATGGACCCTCCTTTTCACAGGCGGGCTCTGGATAAAATGCGGGCAAGGATGGCCTTGAGACTGTGGCAAGAGGCTGTGTGGAGGGAGTGGCTTGACTTCCACCTAGTGGCAACTGCAAATGGGGCAGCCACTCTTGCCAGGTTAGAAACATTTAAGACTAACAACCTTTCCAAATATGGGGCTCAGAATTTTCCTAACTCTTTCCCTTGGGAACAGGCCAATTCTGACTGCTACCAAATCAAACCAAACAAAAGATAAGCAAAGCAAACCAAACCAAACTTTTTGGGTGCACTTTCAGAGAGAAATTTCTAATTTCAAAGGAATTATCATTTTATATAGGTATAGAGAGATTCAAAAGTTATAAGCTGTGGTTAAATGTTCTTAAGCAATGGAAAAATAAAAACTTTAATAGTAAAGTTAATTTAAATTAATCTTAAAAGGTAAAACTTCATGTTTTTCAATAATTAGGAAAAGGAAATTATATGGCTAAATATATCTCTGCTCTTGAAATACTGTTTTATTTAACAGAGTACAATAATGCTAACTCTAGATTTTTTCCCCATTTTAAAAACACTTACATTTATGTACTTACTACTTCACTTTGAAAAGTAAGAAAAATTAAAGTATTGATTTATGAAAACTCTTCCCTATCTTTCATTATTTTTTTTTCTGAGGATTAATATGTAAAATATACTGTTTTGCAATAATTAATGACAATTTAGAATATTTTTATTTCATAGACGGTTTTCAACATTCTTTTTTCTGATGTAGAAATTCCATCTTTTATTTTTCCTTTTGCTCATTTCTTAGCAACCACTTTAATATCCTGAAAACTTGGCTTCCATTATATAATTTAATTGTCTAATTCTTAATATAATGATCCAGTATGTCATTAAAATACAGTAACATTATTAATGTTGATTAAATTTTGTGTGTCTAAAATTCTATTTTGTTATTGTTGATATCAATAAAAATTCCATAAAAATAAAAGTAAGAAATATTTCTAGTATAAGGTGTATTATGAGCATAAGAAGAATATAGACTATAAAAATTAAATTCAATTTTTTAGAATATATGTCAATATGATTGTGTAAGCATAGTGTATGGTTTTTTTTAAAGTGATGTTTTAAAGGCAGAGAAGCAGGACTGAAGATCAGCTTTGGGTCAGACAGATAGCTGTTGGACAGATCACACGCAACTTAGCTTTGGCTTTATTTTCTGGAAAATAGATATAACAAAATACATATACATAATATTTGTCATGATGATAAACTAACTAATGTTTGTGAAGCACATAGTATAATGCTGAGAAAATAGCACTCAAAAAGGGTGATAGCAAATATATATATATACCTACTGTGTTTCCACAAAAATTAAAAATACAAAAAAACTTTTAAAAGGGTGATAGCTTTTGTCATGATGTTGTAATAGTATTATATTCTTTTAATATTTACTTCTCAGATAACCAATAATTCTGAGTTTTATACCAAAGGGGAGCATATTGTTTATAAGTAGTAGTATAATAAGCTTTTTAATATATTTAGATTTGTATTCAGGCACTCCTATGTAGTCATGGTTTTATAGACAAAAAGACTATGACTTTTCTATTTTGTGTTTTTCTTTTCCTGCTTCTTTACTTTGGAATTTTACTCATAAGAAAGGTGAATTTTTCTCAAGAGGAATAAAGAAATATTTATGATATGTGCTGTGGTTTGAATGTGTACCCAAAGTTCATGTGTTGGAAACTTAATCCCCAAGGCAACAGTATTGAGAGGTGGAGCCTTTAAGAGGTGATTAGGTCATAAGGGCTCTCCCTTGTGAATGGATTAGAGTGGGTTAGTTATCTCAGGAGGGGGTTCCTGATAAAAGGTTGAGTTTGGCCCACTTCTTCTCCCTCCCCTTTCTCTCCCTCTCTTTCTCTCACACACAAACTCCATTGCCCTTCTGCCTTTCACCGTAAGATGATGAAGCAAGAAGACCCTTGCCAGATGTGGCAACTTGACCTTGAACTTCCCAGCCTCTGGAAATATAAGAAATAAATTTCTTTTCTCTATAAATTACCCAGTCTGTGGTATTCTGATAGAGGTGCATGGAACAGACTAAGACAACATGCATGGACCAAATTCCATTATTTTACTCTGGTCAGGTCTGGATAAATAATAGTGCCAAATCAAGTAGCTGAACATTGTATAACTGATTAAATCTTTAAAATTACTCTATAAAGTGTACAAAAATCATTTATGGTTTCATTACCAATTATGAAAAATTATTTCCTTCCCTCAATTTAAATATTCAGTGACTAAATTAAATTTAATAAAACAAAATCCTCAAGTTTTTTATTGAGAAAGGATGTTTTAGGTTAGTGAAATTACAATTTATATAATTATTTCCACTGAAAAGCCTTATTGTCTTCCTCTTTTTATTGCCTTATAATTTTTTATATGTCTTAGTTTATTTAAATGCTATTGAATGGGAAAAACACTTTTTCTTTATATACTCACATTCAACACAGAACATTTCTGTGATCAAAAGTGCGGATTTCCTCCCCACATAGTAAGCATTTCTCCAATTCTCTGCAGTCATCAACTTGATGTTCTTCGACTTAACTCAGTTCTGACACTATCTACCTGGAGATACCATCAAGTGCTTTAGGTTAAGGGCTCAGTCCCACAAGACTGCCTCCCACTTCAGAGGACAGTTGAAGTCTAAATTGTCACCTGTACTTTTGATGGCAGAGCTATAAATTGAAGGTTCTCATGACCCCCTTCTTGGGTTCAACCATTTGCTAGAATGGTTCACAGAGCCCAGGAAAGCAGTTTACTTACTAGATTACCAGTTTATTATAAATAATTCAACTCAAGAACAGTCAGATGGGAGAGATGCATAGGGCAAGAAATGGGAGAAGGCGCTTGGAGCTTCCATACTCTCTCTAGGCACAACACCGTCCCAGCATCACCATGTGTTTGGGAATCTGGACTCTTCAAATCTGTCCCTTTGGGTGTTTATGAAGGCCTCACCATATAGGCATGATTGATTAAATGATCAGGCATTGATGATTAAGTCAATCTCTAGTCACTCTCCATTCCATCAAGGTTGGGAGCTGGGGCTGAATGTTCCAACCCTCCAATCACATGGTTGACTCCTCGGGTCATCAGGCTCCCCCATCTTTAGAGACATAAGTCCCCTCATTAACATAAACTCAGGTGGGTTTAAAGAAGTCTTCTTATGAGTAAGAAAAGATGACCCTTTCAATTTCATTACTGTTATCATTTAGGAATTAAAAGTATTTTAGGAGCTCTGGCCAGGAATCATGTATATTTCTTGTTATAACATCACAACCATAGTATTGAATCTGGTCAAATAGCAATTTGACTTACAGCTTTGGCTTAAGCGGGTCCCATACATTTGAAAAGGATTTTGGCTGCTGATGAAGGAATTTCAGAAGACTAATGCAGAAATCACAGCAACTTGAGTCTACTAGTTTAAACAAATACATTTACTTAGTGTTTTCAGACTACATAAAAGACAATGTTTACTTATTCTCTGTTTTAGTTTATTTCATATGAATTCACAGCACAGCCCCCATTTAAATTGCAGAGTTAGTTATTTAGGGAGCTCTGTTCCAGGAGGTAGTGTGCTGTTTGGGTGCTCCTGTCACTCCCCACCTCCTCCCTTTTTCTTGAGTCTGAAGTACTGCCCATATAGTATCTGCACTGCACATGCACTGGAAGGTGGAGGCCCAGAAATTGATTGATGTCTCAATTAAGAGAGGGCTATGTGGTTCTTTCCGCCACTTAACACTAGGCTGAAATAATTTCAGCTTCTTCAATGATTCCAATGTCAGCAGACGCAGAATGTTCCTCAACCACATCTTGAAGTGATTATAGATATAGATATAGATATAGAGATTTGTTTTAACATTAGCAAACTGTGATTTAAACACAGTAAAGGAAAATACTCTGGAGTTGTAGAATGTAAAGTATATAGGGAAAGAAGATAGTGGCTAAGACTTTCACTTTTATATTTTGTGTTTTGTTTGCATTAGAGCCTGTTTCTAAAATATTACAGGGAAGTATTTATGTGTGTATATATATATATTATAGTAGATATATATCTCCTTTCATCCATATTTACATGATCCATATCTATATATGTATATGTGTATATGTATGCACAATGTGTATATGTATGTACAATCTATTTTGTTGGCTTTATAGGTTTAATACATGAGTCTCGTTGGATTCAGTTTATGCTATCACTGATAAGAAACAAATAAACGATTTGGTTGGTTTGGTTTTAATCTTTTTTTTCAGCAATAAACAGAGGTACTCTAAGTTATTTCTTCTAGTTTAGTTTTATGGTATTGATATAATTATAAATCAGGTCAGCTCCTTCCATTTTAGAAGTTATATTTTACATGTAAATCTTTAGCAAACACTAATTCTTTCTAGACAAAAGAAATGAGAACATTTTATTATGTTTTTAAATAAACCACACCAAATTTTATAAAAATTCCTCATAAAGTGTAATAGCTCAGCATAAGAAAAAATATATTTGTCTTTATAAATAACATATTTATGATTTGATACATTCAGTTTTCTAGAGAGTCTACTTATGGCTACAGTTTTCTTTTTGCAAACAACAATGGCAGAGAAAGGAATGTAAGAATAGAAGACATCCTCATTTGATTAGCAAGCAATAATCCCTTCGTGTCCTCCTTTTCCTTTACCCCCTTTTCTGATTAAAATGAATTTAAAACTAACTTATATTGATAAAAATATATCATCTACTGTGCAAAGGTTTTAGATCACTCCTCCCAGCTCTGCGAAGGTCACTTCTAGAGGATTGTATTCAGTCCTCGGCATCACACTTTCAAAAATGTATCAAATAATACTTCCTCCAGAGGAAAGGAGCAAGAAGATGAAGGACTTCAAATCATTAGATATAGAAGGATCACCGAACTGTGACTGGTTAGGATGGAGAAGGAAAGGCTCAGGGGAGTGGTTGGGAGCTATCAACTTGTGGATAACCTGTTAGGTCATTAGAAGCGATCTGTCTTTAGAAGTGCGGTTGGATTAAATTATCTTTAATGGTTTTTCCAAACCTGAGATTCAGTGGTTCTTTTTCTGACCTTTTGCTAGAGTTGTTCTGAGGAGCTGAGGCTTGGTGCAGGTATTGTCTTCACATTTCTTTGTAGAAATTTACATACTTACTCTGCCTTGCAATACTGCAATTTCATAATTGTCTGTATGAGGAGACTACTTAATATTTCATGACAGATATATTTCTTGTTGTTGAATGAGTGTTTTACTCATGTAATCATGATATGGAAATATCCCCATGCAAACCATTACAATATGTTAAGAGAACTTTATGTGAAATTTTAATGGTCAAAATTTATGGTCATTAGTAGATTTGCATGCTTAACTGTGTAAATATTTTTGCTTGATTGTCTAAATCTGTCTATGTTGCTGTTTGGTATGAAGATCAATGCTTTGGAGGAGCCTCTTCTTTCTTTCCTTTCTTTTTTTTTTTTTTTTTGAGACAGAGTCTCGCTCTATTGCCCAGGTTGAATGCAGTGGCCTGATCTCTGCTCACTGCAAGCTCTGCCTCCTGGGTTCATGCCATTCTCCTGCCTCAGCCTCCCAAGGTGCCTGCCACCACACCTGGCTAATTTTTTTTTGTATTTTTAGTACATTTTAGTAGTTTCACCGTGTTAGTCAGGATGGTCTCGATCTCCTGACCTTGTGATCCACCCGCCTCTGCTTCCCAAAGTGCTGGGATTACAGGCATGAGCCATCGCGTCTGGGCTCTTCTTCTTTTTATACCTCTATTTCAGGAGTTGCTTGCCTCAATGAATAAATATGGTAATTTTTAGACATGTGATATCTGAAAGCAGGTCTGTCTGGGACGCGTGTCATTCTTTGAGATAAGATGCCAAGTAACTTGCAGCAGAGTCTTAAGATTAATAAGTCAGGATTTTGAAATATATCAGATTAGTTTGTTCCGTATAATTCCTTCCAGATTCTTTTATGTGATCACTATCTCTGACATTAATAAGCACGGGTAAACAAGTAGAGAAAGAATAATTACTTAGTAGGAAGAAAATTGCTCAAATCCCCCTATTTTGCTTTAGTCACAGCTTGTAAATGTTGTATTTAAGAACTTTAATAAAAAATTTGAGAAACTGGAAGATGAGGAAAATATTGGAAGATGAGAAAAATATAATAATGTAGTTGCTTCTAAACCTAGAAAATGAAGAAGTCTTTTGCCTTTAGCCCTCCTTCTTTAGAATTAGCCTCAGGGAATAACCATGGAACAAATGCTCTCCCATTGGTGCATCCTCAGGAATAGAAATGTTTGAGCAATAACTTGATTACATAAGACATACTACAGTCTATGAGGGAAAAGAATAGATACCTTTATAACTAAGCTCAGCATATTGTGAAAGACCTGAAGATGGAGCTCTTTGCAAAGTTTTGATAGTGAGTATGATACCAGCATTTGGATATTGGTGCTTGTTTACAGTCTTAGAACTTTCCTTTTCCCCAAAACTTTGATTTATAATCTGCTTGAAATGTAAACTTAGGCATCATATTTTTAAATGTGAAAGAATTAAGGAAAAGTTAACACAAAATCTCTGATTTTTTGGATCATATTTCTGAAAATAATAGCCTAACTTAAGAATCCTCAGCAGTCATTCTTATTTTGTTTTCCTCTTTAAATCTTGCATGGTGTCATTTTTGGTGATAGTGATGATAGTTGATAACGTAATGTTCATGGTGAATGTCTTCCATTAATTGTACTTGAAACCTCCCTTTCCACAGCTACCATATTTACCTTTCTTACTTTCCTTTTAGATATGAGATAATACATAAACAAACAAACATGTCTTTCAGATATACCTTAGCAATGTTTTAGAGTTGTTTTGTGATCCCAAAGAAACATTTTCTTTGGCAATCTGTTGTCTAGTTTGATTTTTAAAATGAAGAAGCTTCCATATCCTTCCCTTATCCCTTTCTCCCTCTTATATTTATTCAAAAGAATTTGCTGTTACTCATTTTTTCTTAATATATAGTTGCTAAATCTTTTTGGTGTTTTCTATTTCTCTGTTTTTTTCATATTTGTATATGTATGCTTTACAATCCTAGGATCAATTTTAGAAATCAATTTTTATATTTATCTAATATTTTAGGATGGCTAACAATACATTGACTTAATCTTTTTATTAGGATTCCATGTGAACTCTGTTTATGAGAAATAGTTGTTTTCTATATTTTCTGTCTTCTTTGTGTTTCAGTCAATGCTGTGAGCATTGCTTAAGATAACTCAATTAATTTTAATTATATTTCTAATAAAGGCAATGTTTTTTAATTCTAAAATTTTAGGTTACAAAGTTTGGAGTCATTCTAAACCACTGTTGAGATACTCTCCAATGTGCATAAAACCTATCCTGTCATATATATTTCTTAATTCATTGTTATGTGGTGGTTTAATTAAGATGCTTAATTAAGCTTCAGAGATAAGAATTAATCTTGTCAACATTTCTGGTTATGAGCAAGCTGCTTGCTCATTTTTCTTGTAGTTTTGAAAGAGCACAGCATAAATACTGGAAAATATCATCTTTGTTCCTTTTAATTACTAAACTGAAATCCCAAAGCGTTACTGTTTCAAACAAAAACTAAAATGCATGCAAATCTCAGAAGGCATATTTTGGTGTAGTGGATAACTACCACTTTGCTATATTTTTATGTTTTAAAGTATATATATATATATAAAATATATATTGTATGTATGTAATGACATTGGTGAGAATATTAGAATGACTTAAAAAATAAAAAACAATGAATGTGTGATTAGTTTCGTGAAGAAAATATTAAAAATATCTCATGTATAGCAGTAATTAATTTGATCCCCTTTTTTAATGAAAAACTAATGGTTGCAGATTATACAATAAATATTTTAAAATATGTTTTCACAGCTGGTAGTTTTAAATGACCATTTAAAAATTGTAATAATTATTCCTTCTTTGTTACCATCGTGACTTCATCAGATTAATCGTTTTCTTCGTATTAAGTCACATTTTTAAGGAAGAGTAACTAACTTTTCTTGAGAAACTTGAAAATGCAGCAAACACTGATAACCTTGGTTATAATGGTGCTTTCATTAAATGTGTCAACCTGGCATTGTCATTTTAGTCCAAATTGAGTCCATTTGATTTAATTTGAAGATTGAAGGGCAAGAAATGTGAACTTCTCTGTAAGTAGCCCCTCTCTTTCTTCTACCAGGAAGCCTTTCCAGGAAACCTTGTTGAACTTCCAGTCTCTCCGTATCCCTAACTCTTCTTGGCCAGGCACTCTTCAATGCGCTCCCACAGTGCCCTGCATTTAACTCTTGCCTAACTTCTATAACACTATAGTCCTGTATTGTCATTGCCTGTTTATCACTCTCGCCTTTCCCTTCCAGCAGATGAAGTGCAAGAGCATGTCTCATATTACTGCAAAAATTAACATAGTAAATGGCACATGTTAGCATCCAATAATTATTAATGAATCCATCAGAAGTCTATAGAATCTGGCTGCATATACACAGTTGTCTTCAAAACAAGCCCACAAATGAGGCGATTACTCTTGTAAGCACCATTTTTATATACTCACATTTATGTATGTAGAAACTTGAATTTTTATATGCTCAAATTTATATATGTAGAAACTTGAATTTTTTTTCCCCTGAAACTAGCAATGTCAGTTGAAAATCTTTTTATTCATAATTTGGTTTTTGGTAACTTAAAATGCAGTTATTTTCTTCCACAGTAGTATATTGATACATTTCTTTGATATTCCATTTAGAAGTTGATCAAATTTAAAAAGTAATATATTTTTTTATAAAGGTAAATAGCTTGTATTATTAATTTGTCAATATAATTTTGCCATGAGTAATCATTTTTATGTGAGATTTTGGGAGATACAATGAGTAGTATTGTCATAGTAGTTTATGAATGAATGGAAATACGTTGCAAAAACTGTCCATTTGGTTTTATGCTTTCAGTAATGTGGATTATTTTCTCAGCACTGTAATAAAATCATCTGAAATCCATTAAAATCCACCTGGAGCCTGTGAAATTCACAAACAGAAGTAATTTAATCCCTTCATGGCATGACAGAGCAAAAGGAAATCTTACATGGTGCCAGCGATTAAAATCCCAACCCACTAGTCTTCTCAGTCACTTGGTCTCTTCTTCATTTATTCCTATCTTTGTAGATGAGACCCTTGAGACTTAGGTTTAATTCTCACCAGTTTTAACATGACCCCAAAATGCCACAGAAAAATGCCTCATCCATTGCTAAATTGATTTTCTCTTAGTCACTTATTTGTATGTTTAAGAGATTATCCAAGGAACCTACAAGGGTGTTTTTTTTCCTCTCAAAAATCTGCTATTCACAAGGTCTGTGAATATCTTAAGTTACTTCCTTTACCACCTTGCCACATCCTCTTACAAACTTTTATTGTCTTGGGCTCTGCAGTCAATTATCCTGTTTGAGACTGATGAATAAGAGCTATTCATAGATCTCTCACTAACCCAGTGGATTAAGAGTCTCTCTGGGTATTTCCAGTACTAAAACATTAGACTGTATAGAACAACAATTACTTGATATTTTGAGAAAAAAAAATTATTTTTAGTTATACATATACTCAGATAGCTGTGATGTCTTTGAACATTATATTATTTTCTCCCTCTTAAAAATATTAAAAATCTTGCTTCTTGGAATAGGGAATTTGAAAATTAAAAAAAGAAAAACTGTCAAAAATATGAAAAATAGGAATTTTATTTTGGTATGATTTAAGGTAATATAGGAGGAAGACTCATGCAAGCAAACCATGAAATGCAAAGATACACAATGAAGATTGACTTAGACATTCTTCTGCAGGGAAAAACAATTTGCAATAAATAGTGGGTTATAATTAGTATTAAAGTGAGCACTCTTGTTAGTAGAATGAACTCTATGATGATCCTAGACTTTAGATACTGAAGTGTGGAACCTAAATGTTGGGCTTTATATTCATCAATCAAATGTTTATTGAGTGCCTAATAAATGTCAGGCCCTGTAATGTCCTGAGGATATTGTGGTGAACAAACAGTTCCTGCTCTCACAGAGCTCAGGTTCTCACAGAAAAGACCGACATCGCAAGTGTTGAGCATGGAATTATACTTGTAGTTCAAAGATTAGAAGTGAAGTTGGGAATGGCATCCATGGTTTGCAAGAATAACTACATGATAGCTCATTTTTTTTGCTATATTTTTTCCCCTTGAAATATCAGTTTCTTTTTTTTCTGTAAATCCCTTATCAATTAATTTCTATTGACACAAAGTAAAATCTCATTCAATTGGGACATAGTTTATTTATTCTATTACTATTGTTATTAATATTCTGCAAAAGATACTTTTTAAACATTTGAATATAAATTATATTTTAAAATTATGCACAGGAAATATTTTGGTATGACTTACTGGTTACATATATTATTTTTCAATTTTTCTCATTGTCCTATTACTCTATATTTATTTTTAAATTTTTTCAAATATCACTAATCTGAAAAGTTAGATAAATATTTAATTTTCGTTATGATTTGTCTATTTAAGTGATAATGAGATTTTGAAGACTGTAGAAAGAATAAACCAGAGGGATGGCAATGCAAACACAAAAAGCCTGTTATAGAGAAAAATTTGATTTAAATAATCTGGAAACATTTCTTTTTCCTTGAATTAGCATGTTCAAAGAAAAAAAAAAGAAGGAATGAGACATGTCTGATTCTATTATACATGTTTACACAATCTCTGAAGGGCTATATTGGGCATTTATCTGTCCATAAATGCTACAAATAAGAAAAAAATAGATGTTAAAATAAATATGAATAATATTAAATGACCAGTTATGACATCAAACTAATGAGCACTATAATCTATTGGAATTTATTATAAAGTCTTATCTTTTGCACAAAGTGTTGGGATATATTTGAATCTGCATCTAAGTGGTAATACTTGATTTGTTTTGGAGATTAATACATTGACATAAAATATGATTATGATTTTATTAAAAATGCTGGTTTAATTGGCCTTTGCAAATGTCTTTTAAGGATAATGCAAAACCATTTATTCTTTATTATTGACATGTATAGAATAAAGCATAAGCAAAGTGAACATATCCTTCATTTGCTGGAATACCCCAGTTTACACCTGCTGTAGATCAATTAATGGCACTTAATTATTTCAGCCCCACTTCACTCTCAACAATGTCCCAGTTTGGACAGAAATACATCTTCACTTGAGTAAAAGGTTCAAGAGTTTAATTTTGTCTAGACAACTAAATTAAAGAAAAAAAATCATTACTTTTTTCACAAAAATTTAAACCTAATTTAAAACATTTTGAAAAAGTAACAAAGATCACAAAATCTACATATAATTTTCCAGAGCTGGATCTTGAGTAGTAATTAATTCCTGGGACAAAATGAAGATTTTACTTTTAATTCCTTAAGCCATAATATTCGGTTCCAATTTGCTAGGTTTTATAAAGTTTTGAAGGGCCACCTTAGAGTTTCTAAATATGGGTTTAGGAGTAGTCCTACTATTGGTAACAATTAACATTTTAATCAGCGTATAGTACCAGACACCATTCTAAGAGCTTTTTGTACATGATTTTTATCTAATCCTCACGGTAACATGATGAAGGAGGTACTATTATTCTCTATTTTACAGCTGAGGAGACTGAAACTTAGAGTAGTTAAGTGATTTGTGTCCTTCCTACCTTCTGCTTTGCTGAACAATTGACTAGATAGCTATGTTCCAAGTCAGCAGGATAAAATAGGTCCATCTCTCCTACCAGTGAATGTAACATTAGTATTTGCTTCCTAACTCATGAGATGTTCAGTAACTTCTGAGATTCCATATTGTTATATGTGGGAAGATTGCCATAGAAGATGTAGTCTATACATTCCTTGAGATAATCTAAATTTTACTCTGGGATCAAGCCACATCATCAGGCATACCTACTTGGATAACATTGCTTGGGAGCATTAAAAAATGTGCCTCCTCTGAGCTAGGTTCTGGTGTTATTCCCTGAGTTTTCTTCTAGGGCAATTTGAGTAGGTGCTCCATTTTTTGTTTATTTATTATTATTTTTAGAATACTCTTTTTTTTTCTCATAATGTCCACCAGATTTTAGAGCTAGGAGAAGCCAAGTGTCTTCTGAGTTGTTGATATGTCTTTTATTTTATGGGCACTGTGTATTTTGTTCCTGATAATGTCGTTTTCTTTCTTCGATTTCCAGAAAATCAGAGCCAAATGTCTGATTTACTTTTTGCTGTTAGACAACATTTTCAATGCACATTTCTTATGCTGACTTTAACCCTGGCTATCTTTTCTTTCTCTGTCATTAATGGCAAGAGCATGGATCTAGAATTAGACCACTAGGGTTCAAATCTCATCCTAGTTGCTGTTCAATTTTTTATCTTGGGCAAGTTAGTTAGCCTCTCTCAGCTTTCTCTCCTGTAATAGAGGAGGGTAACAATAGAGAGACCTCATAAGGTCATAGGAAAATTAAATGAAATAATACATGCAGAAATCTTTGAACACTCCCTGGCACATAATGTAGGTGTGTATTACTATTATATAATTACATTGTCATTTGTAAACTACTCAAATCCTTTTTATATTGAGGCTTAACATAAATAAATGTTAAAATGTTGCCTTGCTCCGTATGTAGTAGGAAAACAAAAACATACTTTGGCCAAATTGAAGTATATGTTAGACTGAGACTACAAATCACAAAAGATAGATTTTGGTTACCTTGTTTTGCCTATTTTCAGAAAATATTTAGAGAATTTAGGCAAAACCCAGAGAACTTGTGTAGATGAATAGTTTTTAAAAATATGTAAATGATACTCGGCAAATTTGAGAAACTGGTTAAATAAATGTAAACTTCTGATTCTGCTAAGATAGAAATAGAAGAATCTATCAAATAGGTAAATGTAAACCTAAATAAAAGAAAACAAATATATAAAATAAATATGAAATTTTGCCGATACTTTACCTTTTCAGGAAATGAAAGTATTTTCTGTTCCATTGTGTGGGAGGAAGCACTTGAGTTTCAACCACAAAAGCAAGCATGTACAGGCAACCAAACACATGCAGAGATGGTTGGCCAGGCCTCATTTCTGCAACAAGCTCATGAAAGATGGGTTAACTAGGTTAATACTGTAGCCTACGAAAAACTCATTGAGGGTAACTAGCTTTTGTGGGGACATTGCATGTATCATTTCCTTTTATTTCTTAATAAAAGGAATACTGTAGTCTACGAAAAGCTGTTAATACTGTAGCCTATGGAAAACTCATTGAGGGTAATTAGCTTTTGTGGGGAGATTGCATGTATCATTTCCTTTTATTTCTTCAAAGTTTGACCAAGCTATACAATAAGATGACATTTTCTGTTGAAGCTTGGAACTAACATTAAATTACAGATAAAAGTTATTTTCATCTTCAATTTATCTGAGTTTTATTATTATCAAGACCCTTTGCATTATGCTTAAGCATGGTTATTTACTTATTTTATTAAAAAAATTTTTAAAAAGTTTATTGATGGAATCTCGCTCTGTTGCCCAGACTAGAGCGCAGTGGTGTGATTGTAGTTCACTGCAGTCTTGAATTCTGGGGCCCAAGCTATAGTTGTGTGCCACTGCACCTGGCTTGTTTGTTTTTATATTGTTAAGGTTAATCCTGGCCTGTATTTTTTCATTTTATTATCCATAAATACCAAAATTATAGTGGTCATCATTGCTATTTTGAATACCACCCAGGTTACAACTTGGACCATAGAATATATTAATGAAAAGGTCCAGGGGAAAGGATTTTAAGAGGAGGATCCTTCAAAGTGGAGCCTTCGATTTACTGAAATAATAGAAAGAAAAGATCAAATTGTGTAATAAGTGCTTGAAGTTAACTTGTAGGTTGTGAGAGGAGAAGACAGTGTGTGATTAGCAGACTTAGAGGGTTAGGATGCATCTAGCACTATGTTAGAAGGTAAAGTTAGAGTGATAGGAGAACTGGAGAGAAAAAAGGTATTTAATGTGTTATATAAGTGGTAGACAAGATGCAGACTACTCTTG
Organism: Homo sapiens; assembly: GCF_000001405.40. Taxonomy (NCBI): domain Eukaryota; kingdom Metazoa; phylum Chordata; class Mammalia; order Primates; family Hominidae; genus Homo; species Homo sapiens. The sequence goes on along the minus strand of NC_000004.12, from coordinate 111,929,846 downwards.
AAACAGGATCAATCTTCTTCTCAGCAATCCTAGAGTCAAAAACAAGTAATCAGCAGCTATCTAAGGTTTAATCAGTCCAGATTTAAATGAGGAAAGGTCATCAACATAGCTCTGGCAGTATAATACTGATACTCTCTAGTTTGGTATCACTTTATGAAACCAAATCCATAATTAAGAGACCATAAGGTCAATAGATCCTCTGGTCTATACCCCAAGCTCATGCAGGTATATAAGAACAAGTGAAATTGTTAGATTTACATGGATCCCTGGGTAGTTCTAAGGAAGGAAAAAGAAGACAGCCCAAGAATGTATGTGATTTCAATTCCTGGGTTTAAAAGTAATATTATCATGCTACTTTTATTTTTCCTCTGAAATGCTATATTTTGACATTTATAATAATAAAGGTAAATATTTACTAAAAACTTATTTTTTAATAGGCACTTTAATATTTCATTTATTTTAATCCATATAAAATGCTGTGATTTATTTTCTTCAATGAATGAATGGGAAAAGTGAGAGTCAGAGAAATTACATGACTTTTCCAGGTTCTGTAATCATTAAGTACAAAAATATTATAAGGTTTTTTATAAACTACATTTACAGAATTGAAGACATGGAATAGATTGAAATATAAATCTTATAACTTGATCAAATATTTACTCAACACTGAATGAGTCCATCAAACCAATACACACTTGCTTTATGAAGCTACTTCACTCAAGGCTCCTTCTTAATTCAAATAATTTCAGATAATATAATTGAGATTTTCACATTGAGTAGATACCTTAAAACTGTTAGTGATATCTGAATATTGGTGGTAAATGGAGAGCTAATGGAGAGCTAATCTCTGCTTTTATACTGGACTAGCTTACATTAAAGATCTGCTATCAGTGCATATTGGCACATTTATTCATATAGAAATAGTAATGTATGTTTGTATTCTTTACTGTTGAAATCAGAAGAAACAATGAACAAAATTGTTTCTGTCCTAAAAGATTAAATTGAACCTGATAATGTTTTATCTTCAGAAAAACTTTAACACTTTAAAGATGGGGTTTTAATGGGGAAAGGACTCTATATTCAATAAATGGGGCTGGGATAAATGACTGGCCATAGGCAAAAAAATGAAATTGGACTCCTACCTTTCACCATATACAAAAATTAACTCAAAATGGATTAAAGATATAAATTTAAGACCAAGAACTACAAGAATCCCAGAAGAAAACCTAGAAAATACCAATCTGGACATTGGTATGGGAAAGAGTTTATGACTAAGTCCTCCAAAGCAATTGCAACAAAAACAAAAATTGACAAGTGGGACCTAATTAAGAGCTTCTGCACAGCAAAAACAAACAAAAAAGACACACACACAAAAGCTATTGACAGACAACCTACAGAATGGGAGAAAGGATTTGAAACTATGCATCTGACAAAGGTCTATTTTCCAGAATCCATAAGGAACTTAAAAAATTCAGCAAGCAAAAAACAAATAGCCCCATTAAAAAATTGGCAAAGGATACAAACAGACACTTCCCAAAAGAAGACATACAAGTGGCCAACAAACATGAGGAAATGCTCATCATTACTAATTATCAGTAAAATGCAAATCAAAACCATAATGAGATACCATCTGACACCAGTCAGAATGCCTATTATTAAAAAGTCAAAAAAAAAAAAAACCATATTGGCAAGGCTGTGGAGAAAAGGTAACGTTTATACACTGTTGGTGGGAATGTAAATTAGTTCAGCCACTGTGAAAAGCAGTTTAGAGATTTCTCAGACAACTTAAAATTGAACTACCGTTTGATCCTGCAATCCCGTTACTGGGTATATACCCAAGGAAAACAAATCATTCTACCAAAAAGACACATGCACTTGTATGTTTATGGACTATTCACAATAGGAAAGACATGGAAACAACCTAGATGCCCATCAACAGTGGCTTGGATAAAGAAAATGTGGCACACATACATCATGAAAAACTATGCAGCCATAAAAGAGAATAAAATCATGTCCTTTGCAGCAACATGAATGCAGCTGGAGGCCATTATACTAAGCAAATTAACACAGAAATAGAAAACCAAGTACTGCATGTTCTTATTTATAAGTCAGAGCTAACCACTGAGTTCACATGGACATAAAGATAGCAACAATAGACAGTGGGGACTACTAGAGGGGAGAGAGGGAGGGGCAAGGGGCTGAAAAACTACCTATTGGGTACTATGATCAGTACCTAGATGACAGGATTATTTGTTCTCCAAACCTCAGTGTCACACAATACACCCAAGGAACAAACCTGCACGTGTACTCTCTGAATCTAAAATAAAAGTTGAAATTATAAAAGGAACATAAAGATGGGCTTTTACAAATTGTCAGGAGGTAAATAGGGGATAAGTGAACCAATTAGAAAATACTTGTGGTACAACTAGGTATTGATGACCTTTATGTTTTTGCAATACGATATAAGACAACAAAGCAGGTCTTACCTGGTTAGGCCAATTATATATGTGTGTTTTTTGCTGTTGATGATGATAAACTTACTGATTTTAATTGTCCTTTATTTTCTTCATATTTAGAAAACATCAATGTGGTCTTTTATCATTTTTCCTACATGGATTATCACAGGCGTATATGAAGAATGAAAAAAGTTGTTATTTGAAGGAGGATTAGGCATTGGTAGTATCTTCTGCCTTTCTGTAAAATTTAAATACATATAATTTTAATTATATTTTAAAGAAAATTTCTTCTTTTAGTCTAAAATTTGGATCCAATGGCCTTGTGTACCACAGAATAATACAAAAACACTAGTTCACAGTTTGTAGCTTAATAAAACTTAATAAAACTAAAATGGTCTCAGCTAGTTCTTATGAAATATTTATAAACATAAGTTCTATGAAACTATTTCAGACTAATATTTGATATAGTTTGTTTTTCCAGCCCACAATTTAGAGATATCTTTGACCTTTTGTCCTGAAGTATTTGCTGGACTTGACCATGTCATGTGCAAAAGATGTAGCTCACAGGCAAAACTAGACCTGGCAAAATTAAGTAGTCAGGATTTGTCTCTGGGAACAGGGAGAATTATTATCCCCAACAGAAGAATAAACACTTTCATAAGGATCAAAGTTGTCAACTAGAGGGATAAAATTCTGGTAACGAAATTTCAGACAATTGGCTCACAAATGAGAGAATTTTTGTGTAGGTGGAGCCTCACCTCTTTCCTGAAGCCATGAAATCCCTTCAAGATTTTGACTGGCTCTGCTTATTTAGTTACCATTTTTTATAGGTTTTTAAATTCAGTTTATAGAGATTATACCTTAATTCCAGTGTGGGTGGTGATGTGTACTGGGCAAATGAGGGCTGCCATTTTTGTCTTTTAGCGAATATAGATCAGTTTGTAAGATCTATCTTATGAACCTCTAAAGAGGAACAGGAAATCACAGCATTTGTCAGAAAACCCATTTTCAGTGGAATAAATACTTCATATTTATCATTTCTTATTGTCTTTGACTTGCCTACTTGTATCTTGGTGGCACTCAGGTTCAATTATTGCTTTATATTTGGTAGTGTAGCTGCTAGCATATTTCAAGCAGAATGTAAAGATAATAAAGTTAACTCTGGATTATTAAAGCTCACGAAGAAGAGAAATATCACAAAGTGATTCTCTACAGACAATTCTTTATTTTCATACTCCATTAACTTCTTTCTTCTGAATCTTTTATTATAGTACCTGTTAAATGTTAAAACAAACATTTGAAATCTAAGGCATGTTTGAATCTCTCTTGCTCTTTTAAATGACTAAAATCAATCTTGGCTTTCCTTAGAAAAGCAAATGCAGACATTAGTTAAGATCAGTCATATATCATGGGATATAAATTACCAATTTCTATTACATAAGAGTTCAGGAACATTCACTCAGCCTATTTGCCACTTCTTCCCATGCTTTTTCAGAGACCATTGGTGGATCTTAATTGAGAAAACATTTAACTTCATTTATTGAAAGGATATAAAATAAAGCCACCTAAGATAAAAAAAGATGAAATTATTGAGTGTTCAATGCTACTGGGCTATTCTTATTTAACCAAATTCTGGGTTATTCAATTTTTCATGCTGTGGTTTGTGAGTTAAACAGTTCAGTCACTTCTATCTCTTCTTTCAGATGCATTTCAATGATTATTTTCTAATACATTTTAGGCTATTGCTGTCAATGATGAAATGAATTATATCTGTTGACTTTGATATTAGTTAATATGGGACTTAAAAAGTAGGCCTTTACAGGCAATACATGAATGAGTATAAAATTGAAGGGATAATTAATCCATATGTATACTTCAAGTTGATAGTAAACATAAAATGCATTTGCTTACTTGGATAATTATTGACTTCATATAGTTTCACAAGAAAATAGAGCAATGATAGCACTTTTCTTGTGAAAGTATGTGATAAACTTTGACACTTTTCAGAATTAAAACAAAAAAAATTGGATGTTCATGTAGAGTTGGCATCATGGCAAGCTAAAATCACATTCAAGCTGAAAGTTTTGGGGGAGCAGAGATGCCTTGAAAAAGCAGAGGAAAATGGACCAGAGAATCAGAGCTGAGAGATCTGCCAGACAAGGACCCAGGAAAGGACCATCAGCTTTACTTCCTCACTTTCCAGATGGAATGCCCTCATGTGGCCAAGCCGTACATTTTTTTCTTTTCTGTGTTATCTACAAAATTTTGTTTTATCTTTAATGAGCCCCATTTTCACTTGAGTTGATTTGAGTGAAAATGATTCCTGATTGAGACCTTGAGGCATCCATGTTTAAAATCAACACATCTTTTACTCCACCAGAACTCTCAGTGCCCTCATTCTTACAGTCACCCAGGTCACAGACCTTTGCATGGTCTTCAACTCATTTCTCACTCTTATTATCTATAGTCAGTCATACATGTGTGTAGTATACTTCTCGGTTACTATGCACCACAACCTCAGTGATGGTATTTCTTATGGTTCCCTGACTCACATCCTTCATTCATATAAAAATTTAACTGATGTACAGATATCTCAAATATATTTCTGCCTTTTTGCCTTAGTAACTATTACTTTCCTGTTCTTCCTCCTTTTTTGTTTATTTTAGATTTTTCCTTTTTTTCCAGGCCAGTTTAAATATCACTTTCTCTATGATTTTTTATTTATAGTGGCTCAAAAATGTGTCTTTTCTTTGAATACTTAGTTTACTTGTCTGAAAGCTCTTAGTTAACAATATTTAAGATAAGATCTCCTTAGGAATAAAGATAAAATTATTAGTTTAATTCTGTTCAACAAAATTTACTGAGCATCAGCTATTTGCCAGGCACTATGCGAATTGCTGAGACATATAGGACAATAAATGATTCATTTCTCCAAGAAATAGAGATTGAATTCCTAAAATATGCTACATCTTATTTTAGGTAGTAGTCTCTGCTCTCCTGGAGCTTAAATTCCAGTGGAGGTGAAAAATTACACTGATGTTACTTCGTGTATGCTAATGATGCCTCTTCAAGTAAATTGTAAACCCCATAAAAGGAAGAAACTGACTGGTCTTCCTTATTTCCTGAATGCCTCCTCATTCTTCTCATGAGTGCTTATTTGTGGAAACTCCATAGCCTAAATTCTCAGTTCTACTCTCTCTTTTTCATATTCTTCACTAGTAAATTCAGATGACTTTTATTATTGCACAGTGCCCTGTTTCTAATGGCTATGTATTGTGTTCTGAACATGAATTCCATGTCCAAGTCCCTACTCAGCAGTCACTAAAATTCAACATACCTAAACATAAACTCATGCCCTCCCACCGCATGTTCTTTCCTCGTTTTAACTCTTCGTGGCGCCACCTCTTCAGTCCCCAGGCTTGAAACTATCCAGTCATCTTTGACTCATCCTTCGTCTGCTTCAGTCCTTGCATCTAATTAGTTACAAAATTATGTTGATTCGTTCTTTTGACTCATGATCACATTGACCACTCCAGATTAGGTCTTCATCATTTCATACTTGAACCATTAGATTAGTTTCCCAACTGTACCCTTATTGTCATCATGTACTCTCTCCAAATCTTCCTGCCATAAAAGAAACGTCTTTGAATACTTCCATTTATCATCCTTCTTCCAGTTCAAAAATTCTATAAGGAAGTCTCATTTCTTATTACATCAAATCTAATTTTTCGTGAGTTTCCAGGCACTCTCTAACTTGGTCCCAATCTGCCTGTTGACCTTTGTTTTCCTCCACACTCAACATGAACTCTTCTTCTTCAGTCAGGCTATCTTCACATATGCCCTGCTCATTCTCATGACTTTTCTCCGGAAGTACTAGAATATAGAGGTTAAGAGCATGGCTTGGGAGCCAAACAGACCAGGGATGGAATTCAGCTCCTGCTTAGGTCATTTCCCAAGTCCGTGACCTAGGGCAAAAAAAAAAAAAAAAAAAAAAAGAAAAAGAAAAAGAAAAAAAAGTTTTCTAAGCCTGTTTCCTAATAGGAAGTATTTAACTTAGTATCTATTGTGAGAAGTAAAAGATAATGTAGTTTAAGTGCTCATTGTCTGATAAAATCATGTGCTTAAAAATGTCTTTGTAGGTATTTTTAATGTAACTATTGTTTTTCCCCTTCTGGCAGGCATTTCTTCTGTCCCCTCACCTAGCTTACCTGATGCCACTTTTTTTTTTTTTTTTTTTTTTTTTTTGAGACGGAATCTCACTCTGTCGCCCAGGTTGCAGTGCAGTGGCGCAATCTCAGCTCACTGCAACCTCTGCCTCCCGGGTTCAAGGGATTCTCCTGCTTCAGCCTCCGGAATAGCTGGGATTACAGGTATGCGCCACCATGCCTGGCTAATTTTTGTATTTTTGGTAGAGACAGCGTTTCACCATGTTGGTCAGGCTGGTCTCGAACTCCTGATCTTATGATCCGCCCACCTCGACCTCCCAAAGTGCTGGGATTACAGGTGTGAGCCACCGCGCCCAGCCCCTGGTCCCACTTTTAAGGCTTTGCTTAAAGCTCTCTGTCCCTGTGAAGTCTTAAACAACTTACATGTGCTTTCTCTGAATTTCTAAAGAACAAACAAACTACATAAAAAATTGGGGGTATGAATTACATATTAAGAGGGTGAACATGAAGGGGGATATGGGAATCCAGGAGGCTTGGAATCAAACCCACTCTTTCAATAATTAGCTTGAGGCCAGAGGCAAAATCATTCTGCATCTCAATTTTCTCATCTTTAAAATGGAAAAATTACCAACTTTTCCTACTTTATAAGGCTGTTGGAGGATCAAATGAATTTATCTCAGAAATTGTCCAAGATTATTACAAGTCTGGATTTTCACTGCATATTTAAAGATTGGTTCTGAGGATATTTTGGTAAAGAATGGACGTTGATTTGTGGGGTGTTTATAGGTTTTTAGAAAAAATATTGTATATAAAACCCAATTTATTAAAGGTGTTGTTGAACAAATATATTACTTTAGGACAAGATGAAAATGACTAATTATGAAGAAATATAGTCTTCTAAATTCATTTAGATATGTAATGCAATAATCATGTTTTGTCTAGTTCCTTGAGAACCATACTTCCAGAAAGGATAGGGGCTTAAAACAAACAAGTTAACTCACTTTTGTTATTCTCAGTGCTCTGTGATAATTGCAGAGAAATTTATTATGTCTTCTTGAGTGATTTTCAGAGTTTTCAAAAAGTGTGAAGAAGATACTATGAACAAACACTGATTAGTAATGTTTACGTATTTTTCTAATTTTGAAGTCTAACTTTTCCCTATCCTTAAGCTGTCTAACTTTATTTTTAGTTTGCCTGAAGCCTACAGACCCTTTTCCAAGGGAAACTTATTACTAAAATGGCCTCATATGTAAGGTAACCTCTCTGTTAACCCCACCCAGGCTAATTGGCGTCATTAAAGGTGGAAAGAAGGAATGCTAGCCACAGGGAGTTGCCCATTTTCTATGATTCATAAGAGCCACTAGGGTGAAATTTAGAGGGAATCCACTCCTATTTAAATGACAGGTTCTCACTCTTAGACAATTATTTTTTAGTACACAAGTTTTTTTTTTTTTTTTAAATCTGGCCACACCCCTTAAGAAAACAAAAAAAAAATACGTCAAGCCATCACCATTGCATCTTCAGTCTTATTCATTCACAGTTTCATTAACCGCAGACACAATGAAGAAATAAGAGTAATTCAAGGTGGTAGTTAGCTAAGTTCTTTTGTTTAGCCTCAAATCTGGGAATTTTGAAGATGTAAATGTGTGTAGTAGAAATCAAGATGATTTTTCCCCAAAGAAACAACTTTAAATTTCCAGGAGTTCACCCCTGCAATCACCTGTGTTTTGATACTTTTGGAATAAATAGTATTCCGAAGTTAGAGTAATCCATGTAGGAACACTTGGGGGCTATCACACTCTCCAAACCGACCATTAATAGTGCATGCACTGCTTTAGCTTCTTTGGTAACTAGAAGAACTAATAATAATAATAGGCCAAATGTGCCACTAAAATCTCTGATCAGAATCCTTGGGCAAGTAAGTGAAAGCAGTGAACATAGCAGCAAAAAATAATTTGACCTAAAAGGTGTGGTTTATACAGAATTTTAAGCACGTTGGCTGTTACCTTGATGTTGAAACTTATCCTCATGCTTCATGTATCTGAATTGTGCAGCTCAGAAAGTCTTCAAATTACTTCTTAAACTTTACTGTTTTTTTCAGTGAAGACTTGGGTTTAAATGAAATTCTAAATGAAAATGACCTTATAGTAATGTGTTTATATTCTTGCTTTAAGGTCCACATTTGAAGTTTACTAATGTAAGAATTTTTGAAAAATGAGACTTTACTTTCCAAGTTTCTTTTTTTTTTCTGGATAATTCTTCCTCAGTGGATTTCCAGGCTTATGTTCCAATAACAGAGTGATGGTTATGTCATTTTCTGGTTTGTTTGTTTGTTTTTTAATTAGTCTCTACCCCTCATAGTTTTTCTATCAGTTTATTTCAAAATCAGATTTTAAAATATATTTATTTGACTATTAATTTTTTCTGAAAATAATTACATTTAACAGTGAAAATTCATTAACTTCTAATTGAATTTAATTATTTACTAGAAAACATGGCTTAAATTTTTTTTATTTAATCGGCAGTATTCCCTTGTGAATTGTGGAAAGTCAAGCTGTAAAAGAAAAAGCAAAGAACCTCTTTGTAAGACTCTCTATCAAACTATTACTTTGACTTAAAGTTCTCTTTTTTGTTCTGCCTCAACTCAAAATTCATGAGTAAATCTTTTTCATGTTCTTTTTTTTACAATAAAAAAAGGACAAATACAGGTCTTTTGAAAAATGACAGGTTTAAGAAGGTAGAAGAATTCAGCAGTGAATGTGGGTTGTGGTGTTAGACATGGGTAATAAAAACAGTATTTTCAACATGGCAGCTGGGTGAAGAGTCGCAGTTTTGGGGGGCCAAAGAGGAAAAAATGAAATTGTAGAAATAACATGAATCGAGGGTCACATATGTAAGTGAATTTGGAAATTTTACTCACCTCCCAAAGAATATTCCAAAAATTTGTTCCTACAAGTGGCCCATTACAGAAAAAAATATGAGAATTGTTGACTGAAATCACTGCTATTACACAAATTGTCTAATTTTCATGCAGCTCCAAATAAAGTTGTATGAATAAAAGTGATATTACAACATTTTGTGTTGGGCTGGCTCATTCTCATTTTTCATGATAGGTATGATTTCCCTCCCTAGCACAGATGCCCACTAATTTTTTCTCTCAAATGTCTATGATTCAGAGCTGACAGCTAAGGAGAAAATGGGAGGACAACCCCAATATGAAGGGTGGAAAAGATTAAAACGCAAATGAAAGGTATCAATTTTTTTTCAGTCTAGGCTGCAAATCTAGATTGTATTTCATAGATGGGAGAGGAGTTGCAGGAGGGTTTTCCCCTGTTGCTGTGACAGGTCACCATTTCTAATCTGAGGGTCACAGCCAAGTTCCCTGTTTAGTAATTGCTTGATTTGACATCTATCTTGACCTTTATTTACTTTGGCCTTTCTGGCTAGAGGTCACAAAAGCAAAAGAAGATAGAAATCTTATAAATGCTTTGATGATGAAAAATGAGAATGGTATCCCTTTGGCCCTATGTATGAATATATGTATAATGTGTTGAGAAGTTTTAACTCTTTGGTGCAACCTACAGTGGAAACACCTATAAATTTTTATCTGATACTAGAGATGCATTTTATAATGACTTTGTGGTGAAGATGATAGATGATAAAAGTGGCAAAATCTTGTTCAATCTAAAACTTGACTATAAGAGAGGTACAGGCAGATTGTCCTGGATTAATTATTTTTGATCTGATCAGAATTCATGAGCACATAATTGTGGAGTTGCACATAGAAAGTGTTACTTTCCAAACACTCTAAAACAGGGCACACTAAGCATTATCTATATGCTTTCATTGTATGCTTATCATTTATCATAGGAAATGTGATGTTATGAATAGACGGCAAATTTATCTTTTATATGTTGTTAGGTATAGATCAGACATAAGTCTCAGCCTTTTCCAAGGACAAGCATTATTTTTTTCCCTAAAATAATGTTAGTGAAAAAAATTCACTTTTTTTTAGATAATAAGCCTAGGAATGTGAATTTAGGGTTGAGATGCTGCATTTTCTTTGCCAATTGTTTTGTCCTAACCAGGGGATTTTAGCTAATAATCTTCAAGGCACTTAGTTAGAAGAAACTAAGATAAGACAGGAACTTAAGACAGAATATGATGATTGGCTTTCTATAAAACTGTATGTTATCACTTGCTTTAGTTTGTAGGGTCTAATAACAAGAACGCTTTATTTTATGCTATTGTAAGTGACCCATAAGGTTAAACTATCGGGGATTTTAAGTGTTTATCATTCTCCATATTTTCTTCATAGTATTCATCACCATTTGTGATTATATATTTATTTCATGATTTATTTGAGGTATATTTCTATTTCCCACTCAACTAAAAAACTTTAAGAACAGGAATTAAGTCTGTTTGTATACAATTGCATGCTCTTAATTGGTTCTTCTAGTCCCTAGCTTAGTTCCTGGCACATAGTAGGCCTTCAATACATGTTCTTGAATAGCTGTGAAAACAGAATAGTTGCAATGAATGAATTATCCTTTGAGACTCCACCTTACTAAGGCAGAAGTGAGGTTAGTGGAGGGATTAGAAGGTGGAAAAGTGAAGAGTTTTTACTTCTCTCAGTATAAAGAGATGGGGCTTATTGGCCTATAATCTCTCCAATTTTGAGCAGGTTGTGGAGTGCCTTCTTACCCAGGGTTTCTATTCATCGTGGTTCAGATGTGGGTTTATAGACACAGGAAGGGAAATGGTAAAGTCTTGTGCTGGTAAACTGGCTCTCAAAACAGTAAGGCTCTGATTTGTAACTTCTGACTGTTTTTGTGGTGGAGATATTCTCAAGAAAGCTGATTTCAAGATACAAAGCTATGTCACTGAGTGCAGCATTAGGAAGCAATTTGTATAAGTGGTTTTTTTCCCCCAGAAGTGCTAGCATATCATTTTGAGAATGTGTCTTTGAAAAATCTGTCTTTTCAGCCACTTTTTATACCAGTCTCCAGATGGAAATTTATAGTCTAATAATACTGGACCTAGATTCACACTTGTGGCAGACGCAGAGATGCACCATGCTGGACCCCTTCAAGGAAGGACTTGCTGCCTAGCTGCCTTTCAGTCAATTCTCTGCCAATTGCTTCAGCCTGCAGCCCTGCCCAGGGTCACATTTTCTTGTCATATTGCATGCAGTGGCAGAGCCAGGAAGGGATCTAAGGTCTGGCTGCAGTCCCTCCATGGTGCTGGTAGACCACTAGTGTCACACCTCAACTTCTCCCTCTGCCCAATCCTGCTTCTTCCTACTCACTTCCACAGGTATTAATTCTCATGAGCATCTTGTACTTAGTGTCTACTTCAGAGGGACCAAATTGTGACTACACTTGTGTATTTTACTTCATTTTGTTTCATTGTCTGGGGGAACCTTCTCATCTTCCCCACGGACCAGGCTCATCCATTTTTCCTGAAATTAAGTCAGGTCTATCACTTCCAGGAAATCTATGAACAACTCTTAGATAAAGCCAAGTGGTTGGTTTTTATTTTGTTTTGTTTTGTTTTGGAGTCTCGCTCTGTAGCCAGGCTGGAGTGCAGTGGTGCGATCTCGGCTCACTGCAGCCTCTGCCTCCCAGGTTCAAGCGATTCCCCTGCCTCCTGAGTAGCTAGGACTACAGGGATGCACCACCACGCCTGGCTAATTTTTTGTATTTTAGTAGAGACAGGGTTTCACCATGTTGGCCGGTTGGTCTTGGTCTCCTGACCTTGTGATCCTCCTGCCTTGGCCTCCCAAAGTGCTGGGATTACAGGCGTGAGCCACTGCACCCGGCCCAGCCAAGTGGTTTTGTGGCACCCTGTGCAGATTGTTATCTCTTTCTTTCTCTCTCTCTCTCTTTTTTTTTTAGCACATTATGTCATATATGTTTATCTATCTCCATCATTAGATTGTAATTTCCTAAAAAGTTTTCTTTCATCTCTGTTGCCTGATGCTTAGCACATCGTATGCATTCAATAAATACATACTTGTTGAACTGAACCAAATCAAATGATTTGCTTACACTCATCCAGTTCCAACTGTGAGCCAATTATGTAATAATTGGGAGACTTCTAAATCCCTGTACTGCTAAGATGGAATCCTGTGGGAATGAATGACTACCTTAGTCCTTGAAGGGTTGGAAAGATGGTCAGTTGGGCTACAGTGCTAGTCATATTCTCTTGGTGTGAAGGCAATGACATTGACTCCCTTTATGATGGAAGACAAGTAAAAACTTGAGAGGGACTATGTCTCTTAAAAAACACAGCCAACTTCTAAATGATATTTAGAAAGCTAATAGTCCTTGTTCTTTGTTCATATAATAAGAGCTATTTATGACAAGCCCACAGCCAATATAGCACTGAATAGGCAAAAACTGAAAGCATTCCCTTTGAAAACCAGCACAAGACAAGGATGCCCTCTCTCACCACTCCTATTCAACATAGTATTGGAAGTTCTGGCCAGGGCAATCAGGCAAGAGAAAGAAATAAAGCGCATTCAGGTAGGAAGAGAGGAAGTCAAATTTTCTCTGTATGCAGATGACATGATTGTATATTTAGAAAACCCCATCATCTCAGCCCAAAATCTCCTTAAGCTGATAAGCAACTTCAGCAGAGTCTCAGGATACAAAATTAATATGCAAAATTAATGTGCAAAATCACAAGCATTCCTATACACCAATAATAGAGAGCCAAATCATGAGTGAACTCCCATTCACGATTGCTACAAAGAGAATAAAATACCTAAGAATCCAACTTACAAGGGACGTGAAGGACCTCTTCAAGGAGAACTACAAACCACCACTCAAGGAAATAAGAGAGGACACAAACAAATGGAAAAACATTCCATGCTCATGGATAGGAAGAATCAATATTGTGAAAATGGCCATACTGCCCAAAGTAATTTATAAATTCAGTGCTAACCCCATCAAGCTGCCATTGACTTTCTTCACAGAATTAGACAAAACTACTTTAAATTTCATATGGAACCAAAAAAGAGCCCGCATAACCAAGACAATCCTAAGTAAAAAGAACAAAGCTGGAGGCATCATGCTACCTGATTTCAAACTATAATTACAAGGCTACAGTAACCAAAACAGCATGGTAGTGGTACCAAAACAGAGATATAGACCAATGGAACAGAACAGATGCCTTAGAAATAACACCATACATCTACAACCATCTGATTTTTGACAAACGTGACACAAACAAGCAATGGAGAAAGAATTTCCTGTTTAATAAATGGTGTTGGGAAAACTGGCTAGCCACACGCAGAAAACTGAAACTGGACCCCTTTCTTACACCTTATACAAAACTTAACTCAAGATGGTTGAAGACTTAAATGTAAGACCTAAAACCATAAAAACCCTAGAAGAAAACTTAGGCAATACCATTCAGGACATAGGCATGGGCAAAGACTTCATGACTAAAACACCAAAAGCAATGGCAACAAAAGCCAAAATTGACAAATGGGATCTGATTAAACTAAAGAGCTTCTGCACAGCAAAAGAAACTATCATCAGAGTGAGCAGGCAACCTATAGAATGGGAGAAAATTTTTGCAATCTATCCATCCGACAAAGGGCTAATATCCAGACTCTACAAGGAAGTTAAACAAATTTACAAGAAAAAATATATGAACAGATACTTCTTAAAAGAAGACATTTATGCAGCCAACAAACATGAAAAAAATCTCATCATCACTGGTCATTAGAGAAATGCAAATCAAACCCACAATGAGATACCATCTCATGCCAGTCAGAATGGTGATCATTAAAAAGTCAGGAAACAACAAATGCTGGAGAGGATGTGGAGAAATAGGAATACTTTTACACTGTTGGTGGGAGTGTAAATTAGTTCAATCATTGTGAAATACCATTTGACCCAGCAATCTCATTACTGGGTATATACTCAAAGGATCATAAATCATTCTACTATAAAGAAAGATGCACATGTATGTTTATTGTGGCACTGTTCACAATAGCAAAGACTTGGAACCAACCCAAATGCCCATCAATGATAGAATAGATAAAGAAAATGTGGCACATATACACCATGGAATACTATGTAGCCATAAAAAAGGATGAGTTCATGTTCTTTGCAAGGACATGGATGAAACTGGAAACCATCATTCTCAGCAAACTAACAGAAGAACGGAAAACCAAACACCACATGTTCTCACTCATAAGTGGGAGTTGAACGATGAAAACGTATGGACACAGGGAGGGGAACATCACACACTGGGGCCTGTTGGGAGGTGGAGGCCTAGGGGAGGGATAGCATTAGGAGAAATACCTAATGTAGATGACAAGTTGATGGGTGCAGCAAACAACCATGGCATGTTTATACCTATTTAACAAACCTGCATGTTCTGCACATGTATCCCAGAACTTTAAGTATAATAAAGAAAATAAAAAAAAATGGGCAGGATTGGAAGAATCTTAAAGCCTAACTGGATAATGACAATATTTTCTTTGAGTGCTTTGAGCTCAGTGCTGTGGCAAGTAACAGTTTAGACAGATAGTTTAAGGAGAGGATACTGAAAATGCTTCCTGAAGGGAGAATTGTTATCCAAGTAAAAATTAGGAAAAAGTAGGGAGAAATTTGCAAAGAAGCAGGAAGGAAATCTGTACCAAAGCATAAAGGCAAGAAATCACCTGGAATGTTTCAATAACTATTGAACATTAAGCGGGGTGGGATGTAGTCTGTGAGAGAAAGAGTAGAGAGAGATTAGGATGGAGAGTTAAGCAAGGGACAATTAACAAAGGACCCTAAAAGAGCTAAGAAGGCTTTGAGCTTTATCTCCAAGGCACTAAGGAACTATTTAAGGCTTTTACATTGGGATTACTATACGACAAGATGTGTACTTTCGAAAGCTCATTCTGATTGTGGTGTGGAGAGTAGATTAGAGACAGGTAAGACTGGAGGTAGAAATATCAGTTGAGAACTTTTACAACCATCCAGGAAAGGAATTATGAGAGCAGAACTAAGGTAGAGAAAACGTAGTTGGGATAAACCTGGATTTGAAAGATATAAAGTAGAAGAGAGGACATGTTGACTTATTGGTTATTGAAAATGAGGAAAAAGGAGTTAAAAATTATCCCTGTTTTCTGGCTTTTGCAGATAAGTGGAAGTATGGTACCATCTGTAGTAGTAGGAAATGTCACAATAGAGACAGATTTGGGGATTTGGCAGAAAATATATGAATTCAGTTTTATATGCCTAAGACTTGGAATTAGACAGACCTGCATTTGAATCCCTGTTGAACAGAACTGGGATTCGAACGCTGTGTCTGTTCTTCACAGTCCATGTGTTTTGAGCATACAGTTTAACCTCTCTAAGCCTTGAAATTTTAATCTGTAGTATGGGGATGTTATAACCATAACATTTGTCTTATAGGGATTGGATCGTCAAATGAAAAAACTCAGGTAAAACATGCACTTCACACTCAATAACTAGTAATTATTCCGGTCCCCAAACAGAAGAGGACTGGAAAATCTTGACTAGCTGTTGTATTTACATGAGTTTGAAAGAAATAGAGTTCTTGCCCCCAAAAGAAATAGTGAGGGCAATCTCAGATATGCGTATCATGTTCATGTTCTAAATCCTATAGCATCCTTGTAAGCCAGGTGTGTGTTCTCAATTCCTGTTCAAAGTTGATAGGATATACTGGTATAACACTTAGAATTGCTCAAAATAAACTATACTGCGATTCAATTTTGAAGTCAAAAGTTTGATCATGGAAATGCTAGCATATTCAAACAATGATGTAAAATGTACTTCTTCATAAGTCAGTAAAGAAGGGCTGGGCCATGAAATCTACTTCCAAAGCTTAATTTTATGTTTTCCTGAAATGTTGTGCAACTGAGCCTTTTTCTCTGAAATAAAACTTGGCACAGAAAAGTGAAAACTTAGGTGTTGTTTAACCACTCCATGGGGTATTTTTCCTTCTTCACTGTGTCATCTTTTAATTTTACTGTCATATAAAATTAGACAATTTTAATAATAATACTCCCTTTCAGCGAACAAGGCTTTCTTCTATTTTATCACATCATATAATTAAGAACCATTAACTACTGTTAGGGGATTTGGTTAAATTATCTTTAAATTCATGCAAACAAAATGAATGGCCTTCCATAATCTTAAAACAGTCATGGACTTTGGCAACTAGTGAGAAGCTACTGTCAACAATTCTCCTTGGTATTACTGCATTGTGTGATCTTCATCACAGACGTTTCTGAAGACCTTATTTAAGTTTTAATGTAAACTTACTAAAAGGTTTTGGGTTTATGAAGCAACATTAGCTAATTATAACAAGCTATTTATTGTTAAAGTCACTTTCTAGGGAGATGCTATATTTTTAGTAGTGATGCTTTATACATTTTAAGTATGAAGGCAATGCTAAATAAGCAGAAATTAAAATATAGACACAAGTTTTAATGATAGTATTTGGAACTATACTTACTTTTGCCTTTATTTCTTTACAAAAGGCATAAAGTAGGCTTTGTTGTCAAAGTAGGCTTTATTGTTTCATGAGTTATGACAAACTTTTTTCTGCAATTATAAAAAAAAACTTAAAAAAAATTTCCTCTACTTGTACGGTATAACTTCCCTAACACCAGTATCCCTATAACTTTTTTAAAAGACAGAATTTCTTTCTCATCATACCACAGTGATGGAATGATACATTTAATTTTAGGTTGATGAAGATAGCAATTATTGAGATAATGTATTTTGTTCAGCATGACTCAATGGAAAGAAGAATTGGTCAAATATGGAAATAGACCTGGGGAAATATCTATGATGTCAGACCACTGAGCAGAATTTTGAGGACACCCAATCATTGTTTTCTCCTATACTGGTGTTTAAAAATTACAAAACAGTTCAGATTACTTCATAGGTCGTGGACAAATGTAATCTTGGTGGGAAGCCTAAGTACAGAGATACAAGCTCTCGGTTGGAGGAAGGAGTCAGTTACCAAATAAGGGGGAAATACGGTCATTTGTCACTTAAAAGAGTGAATCTCATGATCTGCGATGTGAATCCTATCCCATCCAGTGAATTAGAGATTTGTGGCAATTTTCTTCAGTGAAGGACCAAATGAATCCTATAAGTAGGGATTCAAACATCTTCAATGTAACATTTGTAAAAAGATATTTTGCAAGAATGTAGGGAATATTGATGACTCCTTTCAAATTGTCTGTTAGGGGAAAAGAAATTTTTAAACAGAAAAGTTTTAAATCCTGAAAAATGCCATCATCTCTCTAGTAGATGTTGGATGTACAATAGGCCCCTCATGAGTAACAAATCCAAAACTGGGCTCAGAACCTTTAAAAATATCACTTCTCTGAATTTTAAATATAGTCTCCTAATTGATATTTTCCCTCTATGTCAATCTCCTCTAAGGTATACCCCATGCCCCAGCCAAAATTATTTTCTCAAAACTCTGATCTATAACGTGGCTTCTTTCATTAAGACACTCCCTTGATGCTTCATTGTTTACATGATAATCTACAACCTTTCTTAAGGCACACATGGCCCTCCATGAAGTAGTCTCTGTCCACGCCCTTCCAAGACCTAATCACTCTCAGCCTGTGCCCTAGCAGTAGGCACCAATCTGAACTGTTCTAATAGCAGTTTCAAGAATTTGCTATGTTGTTTCACGTTTCTGTAACTTTGTTGGTGATGTTCATTCTGTCTGAAATGCCTTCTCTCTCTTTTCCCATCTCCCTTCTCTCTCCGCAGGCCCCCATTGCCCATCTGGCAAAATCATATTCATTCTTTATTCCTTCTTTGATATTCAAACTTCTACCACAATACCTAGCATATGGAAATGCTCAATAATTGTTGGATAAGAATGATGGTGATGTCACAAAATACACGCTATCAGATCACATATAATTCTGTCTGGTTTGTTGATTTGTCTGTTGATTGAGAGGGGCATAGAGGCTGTCTTTTTTCTACTTGTTGCTCTTCTATCATAATTAAAAGAATCCTTTCTGGTTGTGCCCAAAGAAAGAAGAGATCTATGTAACCTGTATTTAACCAAGCCTGGTGTTAAATCCTGAGGTAATCCTACCATTTGGTCACTGAGAAACTTTGATCCTTGAAGGTCTTTTATTGATTGATTGAGATGTTGAAATTTACAGAGAGAAGCAGAAGAACTGAGGATATTACTTTATTAAGTGTCTAAAACATACCCTGTTACTTAGAACCAGTAAATTTTTGTAGATTAATTGCAATTTATGTGTTTATAAACATATATACTTAATGGAAAATGGTTTGAGGATAATCATTACAATTCGCATAGAACTGGAAAGAGAAATAAAATATCCTTAAAATATTTTGTTTTTTTGAATGTAGTATGGTTAATGTTCTTGATTTTATATCTGAGGAGACCTGCTTTAAGCAAATTATGTTCCTTACATTGCGATCAGTTTCCTTTTCTACATTCCTTTTTTAATGTGTAAATAATTTCATGTCAAAAAACAGTCTATTTATAATGGTGTGTGTTTGCATAAACTTAAATATGCAACATTTAGCTGCAATATCTAATAATTACATAGTCAGTTGTTTTTAGAACAACCAAGATAACTTCCACAATAGGTCATTTAGACCTGTACAGGCTTGATAGATTTTTATTATAGCTAGATCATAGTCTTTGAGAAATTATCTTTTTGGTTGGTGGGTTTATAATGTGGTGATTTTCTAACCATGTTAGAGACACTATGCTATACCTAATCTTGGAGTTTCTCTAGGATCTATAGGTATGATATAGAATGATATAGGTATGACTGTTTCAGATGGTCTTTTCTGGAAGTCATACATAAGTTAAAAAGATCTCTCTCTTAACTTTACTCTTGTTATACATTTTTGTGTAAAAATATCAAGTGAGTAGGAAGAAATAAGGATAAAAACAGAGAGAAAATAGTAAAATCTGAAGATGCAAAGTAGTGCAGATTATATAATTTTTTATTTTTTAAAGGAAAAAATTGTTAAACAAAAATTTTTATTTAGAGACAATTACATTTTATAAATATAATAACCATGACATTGATAGTATTTTCCAAAAGAACTCAATGCATTTAATAGACAGAGCTTCAAATTTTTAATGTAAAAAATAGGCATCTGCCAGGTGAGGTGGCTTACACCTATAATCTCAGCACTTTGGGAGGCAGAGGCAGGTAGATCACTTAAAGTCAGAAGGTTGAGACCAGCCTGGCCAACATGGTGAATCTCCATCTCTACTAAGAATATAAAAAAAAATTAGCCAGGCATGGTGGTGGACACCTGTAATGCCAGCCACTCAGGAGGCTGAGGCATGAGGATCGCTTGAACCTGGGAGGTGGAGGTTGCAGTGAGCTGAGATCATGCCACTGCACTCCAGCCTGGGTGACAGAGCGAGACAGTGTCTCAAAAAAAAAAAAAAAAAGAAAGAAAGAAAGAAAGAAAGAAAGAAAAAGTGCCATAGTATTTACTGTAAAATTAAAGAAGCTTAGAATTAGAAAGCATCTCAACTGTAAAAATAAAATCTTCACACTTCTTATTAGAGAGTCTATAAAGTTATTTTTTTTCTTTTATCATGTCTCTGTTTAGATACTGATCATTGACTATGTGGACAAAGAAGAAATGTGTGATAGATGCTATGATTGTCAAAATATTTGGGACTTCATTTTATTGGACCCTTGTTTACTTCATCCTTTTCTACCGGGTCTCTTAAATATCAAGCTTAGCCAAATATTTTGGCGGAGGAAATGTGTTACAAAGAAGTATGGACAAGGGATATGTGCCACTTCCATGCCGAAGCCTTGAGAGTTATTGCCTCATCTATTACTTAACTGTCCTATTAGCATATCTCCTACTTAATTGCCCAAGAAGCCCAGAAAATCCTTAATACTAAAGGAGAGGCTAGTCTTATTTCAAGTACTAGAGCACAAGAGGCACAAGAAAGTTTATTCAGTTCACGAATGCCTTTGCCTTCTTCTGCCACATGGTGTCAATGTCAGAAACCTGTCCTGCATTTTTCAGCTGGATGCCCACCCATGCTATAAGATTGGGGCCCTTTGCTTATATGCTCAGTTACCAGTCACTACAGCACAGCCTTGACAGAGTATCTGAGTGTGAAAGTTACTAGTCACTACAGCACAGCAGCCTTGCAAAAGTGGCTGAGTCTGAAAGGCTTCCAATGTCAATCAAACATTGTGCCCAGCGACCTGCCCCCAAGAATGCCTTCAGTCGGTGTTCAACCCTGAGCTTGTAACAGTCTAGACTTTCCTTTTTCTTAAGGACTCATTGTTCTTTACTCTCATATCCTAGTTTAAGATATCACTGGTTCTGTACTTCCTACGAAAATGATCTACCATCTCTTTCCTTAGTGACAAGCTCTACTTGTAAACGAGTGGGGCATCTTTGGCCCATGTACTCAAAATGCACACTCTATTTTTATATCAGTCTCCTAGGACTTCAGGTGCCTCCTCATCCTATGTTCACATCCTATATCATACCCAAACTAGCCAGGGTTTGACTACCCAGAAGGCAACTGTATTTGAAATCTATTTATTGGTAGAGGAGAAAATATTAGGCTCCTGTGGCCCTTGCAGGGATAATGTTGTATCTTTTGATGTAACATTATCAGAATGTGCTTGGCTTGCTGACAGGGTGTGCGTTGAAATGCCAGGACCCCAGATATACTGTCCTGTCTATATATAGCTTGGCCTAAAGAGGTAAATCCTTTTCTCTAATATGCTCCTTGGTTTTCTGCAATTATTTTCTGGCCGTTTGCATTGATGATACATTTCTGTAAAATTTTAGAACTTTTTCTCTGCCTTCACTCTTTGAGATTTTTAATCCACTAAGGAAATATAGCCTAGGATATGATTCTTTGATGAATGATATGGTGATTATCTTATACAAATCTGGTAAGACTAGGTTGGGCACAGTGTCTCATGACTGTAATCTCAGTATTTTGGGAGGCTGAGGCAGGAGGATCACTTGAGGCCAGGAGGTTGAGACTAGCCTGGGCAACATAGCCAGACCCTGTCTCTACAAAAGACAAAACAAAACAAAGAAAATAAAAACTGATATGACTGACACATTTGAGCACTTTGCTGCTAAGGATCCTGTTTTGCTACTTGACTTCTAAGTGTGGTTCAGAGCAGGCACTTCTGAAACTATGTAAGAAATGTGATGTTTCTTTTATGATAGTGGCCAGGACCTTAAGAAAGTTGGAGACCATGACCATTTTGTGGAACTGGAGCTTGGGCTTTCTATCATTTTTTTCCAAAGTTTATTGTCATTTTTTATTCCATTCTCTGCTTTAAGATCTATCTGACCAATATTTATCCTAAAGTCTAAGCATTGTGTGGTGGGAGTGATGGTTTGAGGGAGGGACAGCAAAGTCAATGCAAGATAGAAGAAAATATAGAGGAAAAGAAGGAGGAAAACTCAGTTACAGAGCTCTCTGCTTACATGCTTTACTAAGCAGGTAGTAGATGTTATTGACTGTCTTAACTGACATTTTCAAAAACTATAAAAGCATAACCTTTAATATACACTATGGCCCTATGGAGAAAATTTGAACACTGGGATGTTAAGTAACTTATCATATGATGTAATAGGTTGAGGATCTATGTGACTTGCTCTACTGATCATGATTTTCTAAATTGCTGAGACTTTATTCTTGTAGGTGGTGGGGAGGTGCCAAAGGGCAATAGATAAGGAGGGTACTGATATGATCAGATATATATGTGATTTATATATTTATGTGTATATTAGACTTCTTCCCCTTTTCTTAGGGACTGATTGTTCTTTACTACTATCAGATATGGTGTATTGGATAGGGAGCACTAGAGTCATAGAGATCCAGCTTGGAGGCGAATATCATTGTAACATGCCCTGAAGATCTTTCATTCATTCAACAAATATTAATTGAGCACCTCCTATATGCCAGTTATTATTCTAGTCTTTAGGGATATAGCAGTATACAAAAAAGACTAAATTTCCCTCTCATGGGGCACATGAGCAAAGTGAGCCGATATAGATATGCAACATTACAGACTATATATAATATTATGAAAACATATGTGAGCGAGCACTTTGCTAGGGCTCCTTCTGGGACTTCAGAAAGGTCCTGAATGGTTCTGAAGTTGAAACTCCACTAGCTTCTTGGTAAATCTGCTTTTGACATTCAACTGGCCTGTGTAAAGCTCTTTAATGTCCCTTTGTTGCAAATAAAAATACCATCTATATTTCTTTCAGTAGATTTGTGGTCCTTCCATGAATGAGTTGCTCTAGATTTTTCTGTTCATGGCCTCTTTGAGACCCTTCTTTCAGTTTCTCAAATGCTTCCAGCTCTTTCTCACCTCAGGTTTTTCAATCGTGCTTGTCTTCCTGCCTAGAAGACTCTTTCGCCTCCTCTGTACCAGGCTTTTACTCAGCTTCTAGGTCTCAGGTTTCTTAAAAAACATTTATCAGAAATGTCTTCCATGAACTTTATCTAAATTAAAGCCCCCTCGCCCAATTATTCTGTCTTTCTGTCTTACTGCATCCCCCTTACCCTTTTATCATGTTTATCATAAACTGTAATTGCTTCTTTTTTCTTTCTTTTTAGAAAGAGTCTCACTCTGTTGCTAGGCTGGAGTGGAGTGACGCGATCTCGGCTCACTTCAGCCTCTGCCTCAGCCTGCCGAGTAGCTGAGACTGCAGGTGCACACCACCATGCCCAGCTAATTTTTGTATTTTTAGTAGAGATGGGATTTCACCATAGTGGCCAGCATGGTCTTGATCTCTTGACCTCATGATCTGCCCACCTGTAATTGCTTCTTTGTTTGTTTATTTTTAGTAATTTGTCTCCCTCACTTGGTTGCATGCTTAAGAGCTGAGAAGGGGTTTGTTTTGTTCACCGTCTTATATGCAGCATATAAACAGAATGATTGTCATATAACAAAAGTTAATATTTGTTGAGAGAATGAATGAACAAGTGAACCATTGGATTAGTCTGTTGAAGGTCAACTTGCAAACATGCTACACTTGTAGGAGTGGCTCTTTATCATGGGGCATCCTCTCATTCCTTTCTCAGTCTGGAGGAGGAGTGTCTACAGTTGAAATTCTTCTCAAATATTTATTAGTCCTTGAGGTTTAAAAACCTGACATATCTGTTTGGAGAAATGCTTCTGAAAGGAATTGACTTTGGTCTGCATGGGTACTAATCTGGAATTATATATTGTTTTTCAGGAGAGTTTTCTTTAATTATCCAATGTTTTCTACTAGATTTACTGCTTTTTGCAGGTTGAGGCTCCTTGACTTTTTCCTACTGGGCCCTTAGTTTCTGTGGCTTTATAATTTGCCGGTGTATTTTAGCTGTGATTTTGGTTTGCTATGCTCCAGTTTCTTCTGAATTCTAATTCTTACCTCTGTTGCATCATTCTCTTTTTTTTTCTGGGTCCATGCATATTTGCTGTATAACTTAGTAGCATTAACAGGTGCAACAATCTTATTTTGAGTCATTACTTTGCGGTGACCAGCTAAGTTTTAGCACCAACTTCTGGCACCTATTTTGAGTACATCGTTGATTAATTTTCTCTCTTTCAGTCACTGGCCAGGGATTCAGGACCGTTTACCCTATTCTGGAGCTTAATCAGATTTTTCCATGAAGATAGCTGTAGTATAGAGATCCTACCCCTTAGAAAGGAAGAGTTTGTGAAGCCTTATGCATTTCAAGGCCTAAGCATTAACCTATACCAAATACTGACTATTCAACATCAACCACCTAAAATAAAACCTCATGACATAAATTTGATAATCATATACAAAAAAGCAGAACATAAATAACAGAGCTTAAATGGTAACATTTACTTTAATTTTAAAAAAGCTCTATATTTTATGAAAAATGGTAGATTCACCACACTTTACCAGAGTATTGAAAAAAGAAAAGTATTTGCAGAGAATTTCCAGGGCACTTTAACTTCATTGTGCTATTTGACCAGGTTAAAAAGTTAGTTATCTGTGGTTTGCCATCTCTTGAAATATTGTATAGCAGACCTTTTGGCCTACAAGTCCCAGAGTCATCCTGGATTAGTTCCTAATTTTAGCAATATCCTGAGGTGACACTTTGACCTGGAGATCCCTAGGGCCTCCAAAAGCTGATTTGAATCCACTCACCATCTGTAACTGGCTTGCATTTAAACAATTTGTCCCATAAAAAGTAAACTTTGTGTTCATAGTATCATCCAGTAGGAAGGGACCCCTAAAATTATAAAGTTTATTATGATGGTTATTATCCAAGCATTTTAGACAGCTCTTTCCCATTCACTAGTATTTCTGAAAATGCAATGTTATCCAATTTCATTAACCTTCTCTTAAAAATGAGATCCATCATTTTTCTCTGCAATTGTTTTTAAACATCAATATTTTCCAATATTAATATATTCAAGTAATATATTAAGCATATACCTAGTTATTATCCTCTTTAGAATTATATAAATCTTCCTGATCACTTTTGATTATTCTGATGTTCAGCACAAATATATTTTCAGTGAGAATATAATCAGCAGAGATTTGTTATCACTAAACCAATTCTGTCCCAATCTAGTGACCCTCAGTTTAAGTAAGAAGAAATGAAGTTAGAGTAAATGACTATTGATTGATATTGGTCTTTAGTTTGTAGAATCCAAAGTAAAGGTAGAGGTTGAAAGAAAAAAATCATTACGTACTAATACCTTTATCCCAAATGGATTTATAAATTAGTGTCTAAATATTTATGGGAAAACAGTAGATAGTAAATGGTTGGGTTGTACGAGTATTATATATCAAGTTATATTCCCTCTCTTTCTATTTCAATTCAGCCTTAAAATCTCTTCACTTAAAAAAGTGATTGCCTAGAGACCTTTGAAGCCAGGGAGGATGATGAGGGGGCAAGAGGTTTATTCCCAGGGTCACACTTCATTTGCATAAGCTAGTAACCATAGGGTATTATGGAATGTCTCTAAATAGATTTCATTACAGAAGTTCAGCTTAAAGGGACTAAAAATAATCCTCAAGCAAACATTTTATATTGCTTCAGGTTCTGCTGTAATAAAAATATTTTAGTAACACAACATTCTATGGAGGCAGGAAATGAAACAGGAGGGTCTTCATATCTTTCTTTTGGTGCACGGTTATGAAATGTTTTAAATAAGACAAACACAATATTCTTACTTTAACAAAACAGTCCTACAAAAACAGGATTATGTCATTCTATATGGCTGTCACTAGGTAGTAAAACAAATACAGATCTTTTTCTCTTCCCTCCTCTCCTCCCTCTTCCTCTCTTTCTCTTCATCTTTTGCTCTCCTCTCTTTCTGTCTTGGCTTTCGTTTCTCTTGAACTCTTACTTTTTCATCCTGCCACTCTTTCAGGTTCACTGCTGCAGGATACATCCAACAATAACATGCCTGGAAATAATGAATATTGCATTCTGTTCTCTAAAGATGTTTTGTCTACAAAATTTGATTCAAAACTCAAATGTCAGGTTTAAACGTTGGCATCTCTAAAAAAGGAATGTATATGAAATACACTGTTTTAATTCTGACACAGGAAAAGGGAATGTTCCATTAATCATAATAAAGCTCGAATTGAAGGAAAAACAGTAGAAGACATCAATAAGCCTAATTTCTCAGATTATTATATATATATAGACACATATACATATATGACCACATTTTCTGGTACTCAAAAAGGTGAGTAACTTATATCAATTGTTCAAATAGAAATATACTGCTATGAATGTTATTTTAATTACATTTATGCCAATGACATAGACTTTCATGGATTTTGTATGTTGGCTTTAAGAAACTGTGAGGGTACATTTCATTTGTGGGTCATGTTCTGTACCCTACCAAGCCTAACATTTTATTTATTTATGCATGCTTCATTCATCCATTCAACATTTACTAAGCACCTACGTAGATGTCGGACACTGTGCAAGGTGCTGAGCAGGGGATAACACTTGGGAGCAAGTCTCAGTATTGGATACCAGGAATGTGAGAGGCTAAGTAGTGTACTAGGCTGATCATTCACTTTGGATTTGGGTCAACCAGGGCTCAAATACTACTTAAGAAACTAGTTAGTTGAGCTGTTTAGGGTAAGACACTTCACATCTCTCAGCCTCAGTGTCCCCATCTGGAAAAGAGGTCAGCATATCTTTCCTGCAGAATGCTTGTGAGGTTTAGGGAAAATAGAGGTAAAATGATAGCTACATTTAGTATGCTGATGCTGGAAACATCATAACTAATTTTATTATTAGAAATAGTACTGATTTATTCCTGCTCTAACTCAATTAATAATTTAATAATTTTAAAAGTGATTTTAATAATTTTAAAATATTCATTTGTCAGTAATATAGGAACACTTTTTAGTGGTTTCAAATTGAATGGTATAGTTTTGTAAGGCAGTTTTATTTGAGTTATTGAGCAATTAAAATAAGGCAGTTTTATTTGAATTGAGTTTACTGAACAAAATAAATTTAATAGATTTAGCCATATTATCAGAATATTAGGATTAGCACATTTGAAAACCTCACGCTCTGGAGGTCTGGAATTGATATTCAAGAAGAACTTCGGTAAAAACATTGACACATTTGTTAGCGTAGAGACTATTAGATCAGTCTCCACACATAAAATGCCATCACATTTCTTTGATTGCACGTGGCCCAAACTTGTATTTCTACTTAAAATATCTCCCATCCTCCACATATGTTTGTTTATAAGAAAGTACAAGTAATGACATAGTCCTATAACAAAGAATGGAGAGAGAAAATACAGAGCACATAGCTGCATCATTTTTCCATGGAAATACATGTCTTTTTTATAGTAATTTAATCAGATAATTTCAGTTTATGTTACTTTGTGTTTCATCATGTTTACTTTTCTAATAACTACAATTATTCTCAGACTTACATTTTTCCCTAGAATAGATGTGCTTAAATTGAAAAAATCCAATTGAATAAGAGCATGTAACGAGAAAATGTAATCCATCGTTATTAAAAAAGGCAGCTTACCTTTATCTGGGTGTTAAATAGTACAAATCCATGAGAGCCAGTGAATGTTTTGAAGTCAAAACGAAGGGCATTACCAAGGCTGAAGTGGATTTGTCACAGAATTATCCGTATTACTTCAGAAATAGGTTATTATATCTAGGCGGGGTAAAGGGAAATAGGAAGGAATAAAATGAGAGAAAGACCATTTTATTTTTATATGTCCTTACCAGGGTGAAACACTTCTGATTTAGGTTTTTACGCCAAATGTATCTAAGATAAATAAATCCAAAGTGGTTAACTGAATAAAGAGCTTTACATCTAATTTATTAAATAGGATATGATTTCCAGAAGGAAGCTTTAGATGAAGATGTCTTTGACTAATGAAACCTCTTATAATAGCATTATAAAGAACACCAGCATAGAGGCCAGATATTATGAGAAATTGTATCTGTTTTGACCGGGAACCCATACACTTAACCCGCAGGAGTCACGATTGGTTTAACGCATGTTTTTAAAGTGTTTGTGAACCATGCGTTTCTTGTTAGAAGATGTGACCACTTACATAGTTTTTAAAAATTTTACAGTGGCAGCAACAAAGTCAACATTACTTTAAGCATGGATTTTTAAATAAAGCATTAAAATGTACTGATTCATATGTAGTTGTAGTGCTCTTGAATTTATTTACAATGAAAATAACAAAAAGCAGTGAGAAACAGCATTTCACTGAATAACAGCACCTTAGTATTATAGTAAGCAGAGCATGGTTTGGGATAAAATTACCTGAATAATTGAAAGAATTCCATCGTAACATGATTTCACCTATATGTTAGACCCATGGATTCTATAAACCCACTTAGAGCGTTGTACCAATGTTTAAATTACATGCTTTACAGAATCCAATTCAAATGTATTTTTATATGTCATCAGAACTGCCATGGAAAGTGGTAACTATACATGCATTGTGGTTTTAGGTAAATTTTCTTTTAAAAAGAGGAATTGTATATGTCTTCATAGGAAGTGATCCAGGGAAAGCTTGATTTGTTTTAGTAATTCTTTTCTTAATACTTTTACACTCTTTATCCTACTCTCATTTCTTCACATTCACAAGAAAGAGGCTTTGTTTACCTTTCTGCTCACTTTTGGGTGATCATGATGTGTCAATGTAGGTTCATCAATTGCGTAACAGTGGTATCACATTGTTGTTTTAACTTGCATTTCCCAAATGACATACAAGGTAGAGCATCTTTTTGTATGCTTATTTGCTATCTGAATATCTTCTTTGGAGAGGCATCAGTTAAGGCCTTTGGCACATTTAAAAAATCAGGCTGTGTGCTTTCTTATTGTTGAGTATTTTTTTTTTTTTTTTTTTTTTTATACTCTAAGTTTTAGGGTACATGTGCACATTGTGCAGGTTAGTTACATATGTATACATGTGCCATGCTGGTGCGCTGCACCCACTAATGTGTCATCTAGCATTAGGTATATCTCCCAATGCTATCCCTCCCCCCTCCGCCGACCCCACCACAGTCCCCAGAGTGTGATATTCCCCTTCCTGTGTCCATGTGATCTCATTGTTCAATTCCCACCTATGAGTGAGAATATGCGGTGTTTGGTTTTTTGTTCTTGCAATAGTTTACTGAGAATGATGGTTTCCAATTTCATCCATGTCCCTACAAAGGATATGAACTCATCATTTTTTATGGCTGCATAGTATTCCATGGTGTATATGTGCCACATTTTCTTAATCCAGTCTATCATTGTTGGACATTTGGGTTGGTTCCAAGTCTTTGCTATTGTGAATAGTGTCGCAATAAACATACGTGTGCATGTGTCTTTATAGCAGCATGATTTATAGTCCTTTGGGTATATACCCAGTAATGGGATGGCTGGGTCAAATGGTATTTCTAGTTCTAGATCCCTGAGGAATCGCCACACTGACTTCCACAATGGTTGAACTAGTTTACAGTCCCACCAACATGGTAAAAGTGTTCCTATTTCTCCACATCCTCTCCAGCACCTGTTGTTTCCTGACTTTTTAATGATTGCCATTCTAACTGGTGTGAGATGATATCTCATAGTGGTTTTGATTTGCATTTCTCTGATGGCCAGTGATGATGAGCATTTTTTCATGTGTTTTTTGGCTGCATAAATGTCTTCTTTTGAGAAGTGTCTGTTCATGTCCTTCGCCCACTTTTTGATGGGGTTGTTTGTTTTTTTCTTGTAAATTTGTTTGAGTTCATTGTAGATTCTGGATATTAGCCCTTTGTCAGATGAGTAGGTTGCGAAAATTTTCTCCCATGTTGTAGGTTGCCTGTTCACTCTGATGGTAGTTTCTTTTGCTGTGCAGAAGCTCTTTAGTTTAATTAGATCCCATTTGTCAATTTTGGCTTTTGTTGCCATTGCTTTTGGTGTTTTGGACATGAAGTCCTTGCCCATGCCTATGTCCTGAATGGTAATGCCTAGGTTTTCTTCTAGGGTTTTTATGGTTTTAGGTCTAACGTTTAAATCTTTAATCCATCTTGAATTGATTTTTGTATAAGGTGTAAGGAAGGGATCCAGTTTCAGCTTTCTACATATGGCTAGCCAGTTTTCCCAGCACCATTTATTCAATAGGGAATCCTTTCCCCATTGCTTGTTTTTCTCAGGTTTGTCAAAGATCAGATAGTTGTAGATATGCGGCATTATTTCTGAGGGCTCTGTTCTGTTCCATTGATCTATATCTCTGTTTTGGTACCAGTACCATGCTGTTTTGGTTACTGTAGCCTTGTAGTATAGTTTGAAGTCAGGTAGTGTGATGCCTCCAGCTTTGTTCTTTTGGCGTAGGATTGACTTGGCGATGCGGGCTCTTTTTTGGTTCCATATGAACTTTAAAGTAGTTTTTTCCAATTCTGTGAAGAAAGTCATTGGTAGCTTGATGGGGATGGCATTGAATCTGTAAATTACCTTGGGCAGTATGGCCATTTTCACGATATTCATTCTTCCTATCCATGAGCATGGAATGTTCTTCCATTTGTTTGTGTCCTCTTTTATTTCCTTGAGCAGTGGTTTGTAGTTCTCCTTGAAGAGGTCCTTCACATCCCTTGTAAGTTGGATTCCTAGGTATTTTATTCTCTTTGAAGCAATTGTGAATGGGAGTTCACCCATGATTTGGCTCTCTGTTTGTCTGTTGTTGGTGTATAAGAATGCTTGTGATTTTTGTACATTGATTTTGTATCCTGAGACTTTGCTGAAGTTGCTTATCAGCTTAAGGAGATTTTGGGCTGAGACGATGGGGTTTTCTAGATAAACAATCATGTCGTCTGCAAACAGGGACAATTTGACTTCCTCTTTTCCTAATTGAATACCCTTTATTTCCTTCTCCTGCCTGATTGCCCTGGCCAGAACTTCCAACACTATGTTGAATAGGAGTGGTGAGAGAGGGCATCCCTGTCTTGTGCCAGTTTTCAAAGGGAATGCTTCCAGTTTTTGCCCATTCAGTATGATATTGGCTGTGGGTTTGTCATAGATAGCTCTTATTATTTTGAAATACGTCCCATCAATACCTAATTTATTGAGAGTTTTTAGCATGAAGGGTTGTTGAATTTTGTCAAAGGCTTTTTCTGCATCTATTGAGATAATCAAGTGGTTTTTGTCTTTGGCTCTGTTTATATGCTGGATTACATTTATTGATTTGCGTATATTGAACCAGCCTTGCATCCCAGGGATGAAGCCCACTTGATCATGGTGGATAAGCTTTTTGATGTGCTGCTGAATTCGGTTTGCCAGTATTTTATTGAGGATTTTTGCATCAATGTTCATCAAGGATATTGGTCTAAAATTCTCTTTTTTGGTTGTGTCTCTGCCCGGCTTTGGTATCAGAATGATGCTGGCCTCATAAAATGAGTTAGGGAGGATTCCCTCTTTTTCTATTGATTGGAATAGTTTCAGAAGGAATGGTACCAGTTCCTCCTTGTACCTCTGGTAGAATTCGGCTGTGAATCCATCTGGTCCTGGACTCTTTTTGGTTGGTAAACTATTGATTATTGCCACAATTTCAGATCCTGTTATTGGTCTATTCAGAGATTCAACTTCTTCCTGGTTTAGTCTTGGGAAAGTGTATGTGTCGAGGAATGTATCCATTTCTTCTAGATTTTCTAGTTTATTTGTGTAGAGGTGTTTGTAGTATTCTCTGATGGTAGTTTGTATTTCTGTGGGATCGGTGGTGATATCCCCTTTATCATTTTTTATTGTGTCTATTTGATTCTTCTCTCTTTTTTTCTTTATTAGTCTTGCTAGCGGTCTATCAATTTTGTTGATCCTTTCAAAAAACCAGCTCCTGGATTCATTGATTTTTTGAAGGGTTTTTTGTGTCTCTATTTCCTTCAGTTCTGCTCTGATTTTAGTTATTTCTTGCCTTCTGCTAGCTTTTGAATGTGTTTGCTCTTGCTTTTCTAGTTCTTTTAATTGTGATGTTAGGGTGTCAATTTTGGATCTTTCCTGCTTTCTCTTGTGGGCATTTAGTGCTATAAATTTCCCTCTACACACTGCTTTGAATGCGTCCCAGAGATTCTGGTATGTGGTGTCTTTGTTCTCGTTGGTTTCAAAGAACATCTTTATTTCTGCCTTCATTTCGTTATGTACCCAGTAGTCATTCAGGAGCAGGTTGTTCAGTTTCCATGTAGTTGAGCGGCTTTGAGTGAGATTCTTAATCCTGAGTTCTAGTTTGATTGCACTGTGGTCTGAGAGATAGTTTGTTATAATTTCTGTTCTTTTACATTTGCTGAGGAGAGCTTTACTTCCAACTATGTGGTCAATTTTGGAATAGGTGTGGTGTGGTGCTGAAAAAAATGTATATTCTGTTGATTTGGGGTGGAGAGTTCTGTAGATGTCTATTAGGTCTGCTTGGTGCAGAGCTGAGTTCAATTCCTGGGTATCCTTGTTGACGTTCTGTCTCGTTGATCTGTCTAATGTTGACAGTGGGGTGTTAAAGTCTCCCATTATTAATGTGTGGGAGTCTAAGTCTCTTTGTAGGTCACTCAGGACTTGCTTTATGAATCTGGGTGCTCCTGTATTGGGTGCATAAATATTTAGGATAGTTAGCTCCTCTTGTTGAATTGATCCCTTTACCATTATGTAATGGCCTTCTTTGTCTCTTTTGATCTTTGTTGGTTTAAAGTCTGTTTTATCAGAGACTAGGATTGCAACCCCTGCCTTTTTTTGTTTTCCATTTGCTTGGTAGATCTTCCTCCATCCTTTTATTTTGAGCCTATGTGTGTCTCTGCACGTGAGATGGGTTTCCTGAATACAGCACACTGATGGGTCTTGACTCTTTATCCAACTTGCCAGTCTGTGTCTTTTAATTGCAGAATTTAGTCCATTTATATTTAAAGTTAATATTGTTATGTGTGAATTTGATCCTGTCATTATGATGTTAGCTGGTGATTTTGCTCATTAGTTGATGCAGTTTCTTCCTAGTCTCGATGGTCTTTACATTTTGGCATGATTTTGCAGCGGCTGGTACCGGTTGTTCCTTTCCATGTTTAGCGCTTCCTTCAGGAGCTCTTTTAGGGCAGGCCTGGTGGTGACAAAATCTCTCAGCATTTGCTTGTCTATAAAGTATTTTATTTCTCCTTCACTTATGAAGCTTAGTTTGGCTGGATATGAAATTCTGGGTTGAAAATTCTTTTCTTTAAGAATGTTGAATATTGGCCCCCACTCTCTTCTGGCTTGTAGGGTTTCTGCCGAGAGATCCGCTGTTAGTCTGATGGGCTTTCCTTTGAGGGTAACCCGACCTTTCTCTCTGGCTGCCCTTAACATTTTTTCCTTCATTTCAACTTTGGTGAATCTGACAATTATGTGTCTTGGAGTTGCTCTTCTCGAGGAGTATCTTTGTGGCGTTCTCTGTATTTCCTGAATCTGAACGTTGGCCTGCCTTGCTAGATTGGGGAAGTTCTCCTGGATAATATCCTGCAGAGTGTTTTCCAACTTGGTTCCATTCTCCACATCACTTTCAGGTACACCAATTAGACGTAGATTTGGTCTTTTCACATAGTCCCATATTTCTTGGAGGCTTTGCTCATTTCTTTTTATTCTTTTTTCTCTAAACTTCCCTTCTAGCTTCATTTCATTCATTTCATCTTCCATTGCTGATACCCTTTCTTCCAGTTGATCGCATCGGCTCCTGAGGCTTCTGCATTCTTCACGTAGTTCTCGAGCCTTGGTTTTCAGCTCCATCAGCTCCTTTAAGCACTTCTCTGTATTGGTTATTCTAGTTATACATTCTTCTAAATTTTTTTCAAAGTTTTCAACTTCTTTGCCTTTGGTTTGAATGTCCTCCCGTAGCTCAGAGTAATTTGATTGTCTGAAGCCTTCTTCTCTCAGCTCGTCAAAATCATTCTCCATCCAGCTTTGTTCTGTTGCTGGTGAGGAACTGCGTTCCTTTGGAGGAGGAGAGGCGCTCTGCATTTTAGAGTTTCCAGTTTTTCTGTTCTGTTTTTTCCCCATCTTTGTGGTTTTATCTACTTTTGGTCTTTGATGATGGTGATGTACAGATGGGTTTTCGGTGTAGATGTCCTTTCTGGTTGTTAGTTTTCCTTCTAATAGACAGGACCCTCAGCTGCAGGTCTGTTGGAATACCCTGCCGTGTGAGGTGTCAGTGTGCCCCTGCTGGGGGATGCCTCCCAGTTAGGCTGCTCGGGGGTCAGGGGTCAGGGACCCACTTGAGGAGGCAGTCTGCCCGCTCTCAGATCTCCAGCTGCGTGCTGGGAGAACCACTGCTCTCTTCAAAGCTGTCAGACAGGGACACTTAAGTCTGCAGAGGTTACTGCTGTCTTTTTGTTTGTCTGTGCCCTGCCCCCAGAGGTGGAGCCTACAGAGGCAGGCAGGCCTCCTTGAGCTGTGGTGGGCTCCACCCAGTTCGAGCTTCCCAGCTGCTTTGTTTACCTAAGCAAGCCTGGGCAATGGCGGGCGCCCCTCCCCCAGCCTCGTTGCCGCCTTGCAGTTTGATCTCAGACTGCTGTGCTAGCAATCAGCGAGATTCCGTGGGCGTAGGACCCTCTGAGCCAGGTGTGGGATATACTCTCGTGGTGCGCCGTTTCTTAAGCCGGTCTGAAAAGCGCAATATTCGGGTGGGAGTGACCCGATTTTCCAGGTGAATCCGTCACCCCTTTCTTTGACTCGGAAAGGGAACTCCCTGACCCCTTGCGCTTCCCAGGTGAGGCAATGCCTCGCCCTGCTTCGGCTCGTGCACGGTGTGCGCACCCACTGACCTGCGGCCACTGTCTGGCACTCCCTAGTGAGATGAACCCGGTACCTCAGATGGAAATGCAGAAATCACCTGTCTTCTGCGTCGCTCACGCTGGGAGCTGTAGACCGGAGCTGTTCCTATTCGGCCATCTTGGCTCCTCCCTTATTGTTGAGTTTTAAGAGTTCTTTATATATTTTGGATAACAGTCCTTTAGCAGATGTGTCTTTTGAAAATATTTTCTCCCAGTCTTTGGTTTGTCTTATCTTCTTGACATTGTCTTTCACAGAGCAGAAGTTTTTTTTTTTTTTTATGAAGTTCAGCTTATCAATTATTTTTTTCATGGATCATACCCTTGGCATTATATCTAAAATGTCATCATCATACCCAAGGTCATTTGATTTTCACCCACTTCATTTTCTAGGAGTTTTATATTCTTGTATTTTACATTTAGCTCTATTAATCATTTTAAGTTTATTTTTGTGAAGGGAATAATACCTGTGTCTAGATTCAGTGTTTTTGCATGTAAGTATCCAGCACCGTTTGTTGAAAAGACTATTTTGCTTTATTGTACTGCCTTTGCTGCTTTTCCAAAGATCAGTTGACTGTATTTATGTGATTCTGTATCTGAGTTCTCTATTATGTTCCACTGATCTATTTGTCTATTCTTTTACCAACACCACAGTGTCTGGACTACTGTAGGTATGTTATAGTAAGTCCTGAAGTCTGGTAATATCAGTCATACAACTTTGTTCTTCTTCAGTATTATGTTGACTACTCTGGGTGCCTCTCCATATAAACTTTAGAATCAGTTGGTTGATATCTGCAAAATAATGTATTGGGATTTTGATTGGGATTTCATTGAATCTACATATCAAAATTTTCATTTCTTATTGTATATAATAAAAATAAATAATTGTTTTCTATTATTGGTTCCTGGTATGGAGTTCTAAAACCCTTGGAATTTATTATCTTTTGTATGCTAGTGAGATGACCGATGGTGAGGATGAGGGCTGGTCACAAGAAAAACTAACCACATGATTATAGTTAGAACTTTCAGCTTTGTCTCCCTAACTCCAGGGAGGTGAGAGTGGCTGGAGATTGAGTTCAGTCCTCAATGGCTTGTGATTTCATTTATCATGCCTAAATAATAAAACCTCCATAGAAATCTTTGCATGGTGGAGTTTGGGGGGCTTCTGAATTGGTCACCATATCCACATGCCAGAAAGGTGGCACACTCAATTCCATGGGGCAGAGGCTGTTGTGCTGGGGACCGTTCTGGACCTCTGGATGACAAACTGGCATATAGTGAATGCCAACTTGGTGATTTATACTTGTAAGGATTATTTGAGTTTCAAGTAATTGGAAGCTGAATTCCAACTAACAAAAACAAGATTTACTGACTTATGTAATTGGAAAGATCACGGATAGTACTAGCTTCAAGCAGCACTGGGTCCAGAGACTCAAGTAATGTCATGATTCCCAGTATTTCTACATCTCTACATTTTATTATTTCTTTCTATTGGCTGCATTTTCAGGCATACTGTTTTCTCATTACAGCAGATCTGAAAATACAACATCTGAAATTCAGAACACAGTGAATGAGTTTAACAGCATGTGGGGCACAGCAGAAGATAGGATTGATGAACGTTAATACAGGTCAACACACAGTATTAAAATTAAAACACACCAAAAACACAGGAAATATAAAACATAGCCTAAAAGATGTGGCACATAGTAAAGAAATCTAATATATGTTTAATGTGAGTAACCAAAACAGGAGAGAGAAAATTGGGAAGAACCATATTTGATAATGGCTTGGTGTGTCCCCAAACTGATGAAAGCACAAACACACAGATTCAAAAATCTCAGCAAACCCCAAAAAGGATACAAAAACCAAAAAACCAATACACACACACACACAGAGACACGTACACACACACACACACATGTACACACACATACACACACACACACAAGCACATCATAGTCAAACTGCTGAAAATCCAGAACAGAGAGAAACATTTTTTTAAGTTGGAGAAAAATTATTAACTTTAAATAAATAATTTTAAGACTTGCATCTGTCTTCTTAACAAATAATATAAGCCAGAAGGCAATATTGAAAGGGTTAAAAGAAAATAACTACCAACCTAGAATACTATGACCAGGTAAATATCCTACAAAAATGAAGTGGGATATAAAGATATTTTAAGCAAATAAAAACTGAATTTTTCATAAGCATGTCTGTATTGAAGTAAATACTCGAGAAAATTCTTAATGAACAGGGAAATGATTCTACATAAGATAATGAAAATATAAAAAGAAATGTAGGCTACTAGAAAAAGTAACTCTGTAGGTTAATACTGGTGATAAAATAATGTCTTATGGAGTATAAAGCACTTGTAAAATATTTGTAGAATTAAAATACAAAATTAATGTAAAAGGCAGAAAAAAGGTAAAGTTAAGGCACTTCAAGATTTTAGCATTTTTTTAGGAAAGTAGTAATAATTTACATGAGAATATAATAGATGCATGTTGTAACATATAGATTAATGGCTAAAAGAAGGCATATTTAACAATTTAACCAGTCAGGAAATGGAACAATAATTTTAAAAAATGTTTGATTAGACAAGGATGGTAAGGAAGGATAAAAAACAAATGCACTTAAATTAATGCAATTGGAATAAATATGCAAAGAAAAAGACTAAAGTTGTAGATGATGGGGAAAACAAATTATGTAATGCTTACAAGATACATAGCTCAAATGTAAGATAATGATTGAAAGTAAAAGGATTAAAAAAGACATGTCATGTATATACTAGCCCAAAATAAATAATGTCAGAGAAATTCTACTTTAATTTTAAAAGTCAAGTTTGTGTCATTATTGGTGATAAATAGGGACTTTAAGTGATAGCCAAACCACTAGGACAATGTCACAATCTTAAAAATATTTATGTATATAACATGATTTTATTACATTAAAAAATATAAAGGAAAAATTAACTGGAAGAAAAGGAAAAATATACAAATCCATAATCAGAGTTGGTGACTTAAATAGACCTATCCTAAGAGCTGAGAGAACAAGCAGATGAAAATCTTAGTGGGAGTATAGAAGATCTCAATAGTACAATTATCAAATTTGACCTAACTGACTTATATAGAACAATATGCCCAACAATGACAGAATTCACATTCCTTTCAAATGCACATGGAATGCTGATCAGACTTACTATAATTGGACCATAAAAAATCTCAATACATTTGCAAGGATTGAAATAATTCAGAATATGCTTTCCTAAAGGTAATAAAATAATAACCAAAATGTATCAAAAATTCCAAAATTGTCTTTAAGTTAAACAGAATACTTATGAAAGCCTGTGGGATAAGGAAGAAATAATAATAAACTTTTAAAAATTATTTCAAATTAAATGATAATAAAATGTGATATAGCAAAACCCATGGAATGCAGCTACAGCTGTATTGCAGTGGAAATTTGTAGCATTAAATGCATACAATAGAAGAGAAGAAGGGCTTAAATCACTGTTCTAATGCTTTCATCTTCATAAGTTAGAAACACCTACAACAAATCATACTAAACAGAAATATTGAAAGGAAATTATAAAGATAAGAACCAAAATAAAGGAGAAAATAAATGTAAAGAAAGTTTTGACAGTCAAAATTTGATTATTTGAAAAAGTCAATATGATTGAAAACCTTTTTTAAGGGTGATAAAGCAAAAGAGAACACAAATTATCAATATTAATAATG
The DNA here is from genome assembly GCF_000001405.40 of Homo sapiens. Lineage (NCBI taxonomy): Eukaryota > Metazoa > Chordata > Mammalia > Primates > Hominidae > Homo > Homo sapiens. The sequence goes on along the minus strand of NC_000004.12, from coordinate 111,891,198 downwards.
AAAAAGGCAACAATGTTGCAGATACTAAAGACATCCAAATGGGAATAAAGGATATTACAAATAAATTTATACTAATAACTTTGACAGCTTGGAGGAAATGGATAAAGTTTTCTAAAAACACCACCAAAATTGACAGAAGAAAAAAATATAAAATGCTCCAAAGCTTAAAGAATCAATTACTTTTAGTATAACATGCCAGGTTACTCTATTTATTATTAACTAATATTTTCTTATCTCATAGTATTTTGCCATTTCTCAAGGTTCCCCCCTCCCCCCCTTTTTTTTCTGTTTTAGATCTCTTCCCAACTACAAATATTTTCTGAATATTTATGGCCTCAATAATCTTTGCAAAGCACCATTTTCATGCAAGTCAACTCATGGTCCCTAAACAATTCTTGAACTTCTAATTAAGCCTTAAATATTTGCTTAAACTATTTCCCTTTTCTACTTCTCAATGTATGGTCCTAGGATCAGCAGCACGAGTCTCACCTAGAAATCTGCTAACGCAACTTCTCAAGTCCCATCCAAACTTACTGAATCAGAGATATCTTTATCTTTATCTTTATTTATTTTTATTTTATTTTATTTTATTTTATTTTATTTTATTTTATTTTATTTTATTTTATTTTATTTTAGAGACGGCTCTTACTCTGTCATCTGGACTGGAGTGCAGTGGTGTCATCATAGCTCACTGTGGCCTCAAACTCCTAGGCTCAAGCAATCCTCCTGCCTCAGCCTTTGGAGTTGTTGGGACTATAGTTGCACGATACCATGTCTGGCTAATTAAAAAAAAAAAAATTGTAGAGACAGGGTCTCTCCCCTTGTTGCCCAGACTGGTCTTGAACGCCTGGCTTCAAGTGATTCTTCCACCTCGGCTTCCTAAAGTGCTGGGATTACAGGCCTGAGCCACCATGTCCAGCCCTGAGTGAGATATCTTTAATAAGATCTTCAAAAGATTCCTGGTGATCCTGATATATGCTATAATTTGAGAAACATTGCCCTATACATAGAAAAAAAAAACTACCTTTTATCTAGACTTCCCTAAATGATATTGCTAGGCATTCCTGCTACTCCCTGGATTTACTAATTACATTTTTATATGTTTATCTTACCTTCCTAACCAGATTGTATGTCATCCAAGGTAAGGAAACATTTACTCTAGCATAGTACTTTACATATGGCATGTCCTGAATTAATGACATTGACCAGAATACTCAGGTGTATTCTTTCTTTTTGTTGCTGCTGTAACATATTACCAAACCTTAGCAACTTCAAACAACAGAAATATATTAATCTGTCAGTTTTTGTAGGTTATAATTCCTTGTGGACTTGGCTGGACCCTCTGCTTAGGGTCTCACGAGACTAAAATCCAGGTTCCAGCTGGGCTGCATTCCTTACTGGAGGCTCTGGGGGGAAGAATCTGCTTCCAAGCTATTCAGTTTCTTGGCCAAATTTAGTTCCTTATGGTTGTAGGACTGAGGTCCTTGTTCCTCGTTGATTGTCAGCTGGGGCTAGTCTTTGCTTCTAGATGCTGGTTGAATTCTCTCTCATGCTTTCCATAGGTCACCTCTAATCATGGTGAACCAATTCCCTATCATGTTTCAAATCTCTCTGATTTCTCCTTCCGCAACATCTCTGACTATGGCCAGAGTCATGGCTCATGTGATTACACTGGGCCTACCAGGATAATCCATGATAATTACCACATTTTAAGGATTGTAATTTTAATTACATTCTCACAATCCTTTTTGCCATGCAAATTAGCATATTCACAGGTTCCAAGAATTAGGGTGTGGACATATTTAGGGGAGAGATTCTGCCTACCACATCAAGCAACTGATTTAATGGCTATATGAAAAAGAATAAACTGAAATGATAAATTCTGTATTGCATTTGTAATCCAGGTACAGTCAAAAACAAAGAAACAAAATTACAGCACTTTGAATTTTACTAACAGCCAGAAGTATTTACCTATATAAGTAGAAATGTATGATATATTTTTAAAAAACAAACTTGACAGTCTTTAACATTTTTTAATAGTGAAAAAGAAACCTTGGATCATATTCTAATACCTAATAAGATAAGCATAGACTATATCTATGTATTTCAGTTTATTCTGCCCAGTGCAGCTTCAAACACTGTTGGCAGTTTCTGGATGATAAAGCTTCTCCCTTGGAGACCCCCCCTGTGAGGGCCCTCCTCACTGGATTTGTTGAGCAATTATTATTTTATGTCTTAAGTCAGGCCATCACAAGCCAAATTTGGTGAAAATCTGTCTAGCCATTTTCAAGTGATGGTGTAACAGGTAGTTGATAGAAACTTATTTATATAGATTAGGACATAAATGCTTTGTATGCCAATTATGATGCAACAGTCATGCTTTGAAAAGCTTTAAAATCTCTTGAAACAAACATAAGGTATTATTATCATCAATAATCACAATTATCTTTTATGATTTTCATTGCAAGCACTGTCATTTTATTTATGTCTATAAGAAGGGATAAGACTATCAGATATCTGATAGGGCTTAATTATTTATTATGAGACTTTATAGCATATTTAATAAAATTAATGAGATTCTGATTACTTGAGCTTGCTGCTCTCTTTGGCTGGAAAATCTCTTCAATAAGAAGTAAAGCAAGATTGCCAGTTTTCTTATGAGAATTACAGGGTTTGAGGATTAGTCAACTGAGAATTGGTGAGGTCCTTCTCTAATTAATGTCTTCCCACTGATGTTTGCCCTAATCTCCCCTTTTATTACATTTATTACAATGTTTCAGTGGGATCTATTAAATAAGGCAGGGAAGATCTATTAAATAAGGTTACTGTTCGGTTAGTGAAGTAGCAATAAAGGTCCTATTTCTGTATTTGTTACTTTGTTAATTCCTTTTAATTTAAAGCGTCACCTTGAGGGAGGCATATATTTAAGATAGAAAGAACAATAGAACTGGAAACTAGAAGATCCACTTCCAGTCTTGGCTTTGGAATCTTAGGCAGATCATTGAATCTCTTTAGTCCTCAATTTCCTAAATCATAAAAATATGGGGTTTGAGCAAGATAATTTCTAAAATCACCTTAGCCCTAAAATTAACAATTTGCTGATTTAAAGGAAAAATCTTGCAAAAATTAATTAGCAGAAACATTTTCATAACTTTATCTACCTCCCACTTGGATTTTTGCAATTGTCTCCTAACTAGTGTTTTCTGCTTTGATTGTTTTGGTGCAGTAACTGCTGCAGTCTATTAGAAGATTTAGATTCACAAAATGCTATTCATTACCTGTTCAAAAGCCTTCCACATTTAGCTTAGATTTCAAGGATTTCTGAATTTTGATCTTATCTGAATTTTTAGCTTTCTGTTCTATTATTATTATTTTTATTGTGGAATCCTTCTCCCCAATCCCACATTTCAGTTAATTTGCTTGCTATAATTGAATATGTTTGTATTTTATCTTTGTGTTATTCTATCTGCCTGATAGCCTTCCTTCCTCAACTCCACTCCCTTGCTCCTCAACATGGAAATACACACTTTTAACCCCATCTACTGAAATTCGAACTCATTCTTCAAGATCAACTCAAAAGCTATTTTGTTTCCACTGCCTTCTATAATTACTCCAACTGGAAGCAATCACTGTCTCTCTAAAATCCTACAGGACTTAATGATATATACAACTCAATAATAAACAGTTAACAAATGATGGTTTAATGTGCATGTTTTCTAGGTACTGCCTTTGGTACTGGGAATAAATCAAGAAGAAAAATAGACATAACCTCTGTCTAATAAGCCTTACAGTCTCATGGATAAGACAGATGCTAATAAAATTATACCTATTAGAATAAATATATGAAAGAGAAAATCCTACTTCTTTTTTTTCTTTCCTTTTTTTAACTATTTGAATCTCAGACCCTACACTAAATTGTAAACCTGAAAAAAAGGTTTTATATATCTTTATGGTATTAAATTATTTCTAAATAAATATTTTTAGAAGAAATACTTGAGTCTTCAGATTTGGAGTTATAAATTTAAAATTGTTTCTAAGACTGTCCTAGACCAACTAATAACTTGGCATTTTCTTCTACTTCCTGTTGTTTTCAAAGTTGAGTGGGAAAGATGTTAGATGGGATTAAATATATTAATAAAAATCTCTCATTTTTATTTTGGATCTTAGCGATTTGGTGGGTCTTATTTTAGGGAAGTCACCTTACCATGATTTCTTTTGGCCACCCATATTTGAGGTTTTGCATTAAAACATTAAATGCTTTTACTGTTATATTTTGAGTAAGATGTTCTTCTTTATTTAATAAAGAGGTCATAACTTTTCCAATGTGTATTTACTGAATACCATTCATATACAGAAGACTGTGGAACTTGTTATGGATGCTACAAAGTAGTATGAGTTTGTTCAATAAGCATTTGTTGAATGTGTACTGGAATCTTACAGTGTAGCGGGCTTTGAGCATGAATGAGACACAATTTATGCTATTTGGAAGATGCAATCTTGTGGAGGAGGCAAAACAACATTATATCAATATTGTCATGTTGATAATATGAAAATTTTGGATCCAAACATAGATCTTTATCCAGAGGAAGTAAGTTTATATAAATTCCAACAACAATGCTCTTAAGAAGATAAAACAAGGCCACACAATGTGAGGGTAATGAACATTTTAAGGAATGCTGTGGTCAGGGAAGTTTGATTCATTCCATTGTCCAGCCTCTTGTTTCTAAGATAATAATAATGATAATCTACATTATTATTGTAGACGAGGTGGAAACACTTTAATGAAATAATTTAAGCAATCATAAATATTTTCAATTTAATTTTTTGGCAAAATCCGTTATCAGTCTAATCACGAGCCTTAAAATCTGGTCTTGTAGCTTGACAACTGGTTTTCTATTACTGGAAAGGCAATTCATGATCGTAGTTGAGCTTTCAGCTCTAGATTCAGACAGGTCTGTGCTAGTATCAAGATCAAGGCTTCATTGCTTACCAAGAGTATGACACTAAAAAAATAACTATCTATCTAAATCTCACTGTTCTTATCTATAAAATGAAGGTAATAATAGATCTATCTCACAGTAAATGCTAAAGAAATGTAGCTATTCTTTATCTTATTTCAAACCAAAGTTTAATTTGAAAATGGAAAATCTTTATTATATTTGTAAAATACTTTCAATTCAATGCAGAAATAAGGACACCCTGATTCTGGTAGAGATAGTTAAAATGGGGCTATGAGTAGAGGATACTATTTGGACCAAAGAAACAAAACTAAAGGGACTTGTCTGAAGTTTACTGAGTTCACACATACATGTTCACAATACATGCCAAATTGCTTTTTATTGCTCAAGGGAGCATGGATTTTAAAAATGTGTGTTCCTTCATGGTAGTGTTTTGTTCATTTGCTTAATTTTGTTTACAGAATAATCAAGTGATGCTTTTGGAAAAGGTCTATAGAGCTCTATTAAATGACAACAAAATCATAAAGCTTTACAGTTCCAGAAGTTAGAGATAGTTCCAAAATTGTGAAGATAAAAAGATGCTCTTAAATTTAATATTTCAGAGAAATAGACTTAGGAAGCCCATTGGACAAGAGGTAAAAAAAAAATAGAGGTAGACACAAGAAAAATGGGAGAAAGAAGACAAGTAGCCCTTCATCCAATAAATTTTATTATTTTCCCATTGTAATATGCATTTAGGGAAACAACTTACAATCAAGTGGAAGTAATATACTCTTTTCATCATTAATACCTTGGAGAACATTAAAATTATACATTTTGCTGCTAATAGGTTAATGAAATCTGAAAATTAAACTTATATAAATCTCATTGTTGAGGTAAAGTTACACAAATTATAGAAATAAAATAAATGTTCAATAAGTACTATTTTGGTAATGTTTATTTTATTTTATTTAGTTTGTCTTTTTCTGCTTTATGATGGTATAAGATAGTGGTATTAAAATGAATGTATAAAGAAAATAAAAATAAATATTCTATCATTACTTCATAACTGGCAGCAACTTTAATTCACCTCCTGGACATGTAACCCATAATGTTCAAAATATCATCTCGTAACTCTAGGTTTTATTGTATTCTCCTAAGTGTATGATGACAAAGACTGTGGGCAAATTTCAGATGGAAACAAATGCCAAACAGAGAGAGACACAGATGGGATTGGTGGGGAGAGAGAAAAAGAGAGAGAGTGAGTGAGTGAGAAAGAGAAGAGAGAAGGAAGAAGGGAAGGAAGGAGAGAGAGAATAAAGAAAAAATGAAATTAAAGCTCTAATAATTCAATCAGAGGCAATATCAGATCTACAGTAGCATTTCTGCTATCTCGAAAAAGCCTCTGCTTCCTAGCTAGTTCAGAAGGGATATCTTAAGTCCAGCTTCTTATTTGGGAGTACACTTTTTTTTAATGTATAAACTCAGGTAAATCTCAAGGTAACCTAGAAATACATGAGAAACAAACTCTCTCAGTGACTGTACCATGAAATATGTGCAGTTTTATTTATAAGAACTCTTCAGATGCAAGTTAATATTCAGTTAAATGATATAAAGTTTTTACTGATAGAAATAATAACATGGCTAGTTTGCAATTATTCAGATAAATGCCAGGGAACAAATGCAGCAATATTGATTTGCTTTGATCATCCTTAGTTCAGACTTATTTAAGCAAAGTAGAAATGGTGCACTTTGAATTATGTGGCTTGATTTAGAACAATTAATAAACCACAGAGTAAGACTCCGTCTCAAAAAAAAATATTGAAGATATAGAAAGGCTTCAATTTTCATGAGCCATTACTTTTTCTTCTCTTGCAGCCTTGTGTTGAAAATGGGAAAGTGGACTCCCTGTGAAATTTCCAGGTTTCTAGATTAAAGGAGTAACTTCTGTGAAAATAGATAGTCATGAAGCAATTTGTTTTGTAATTATATTCCCCAACTTTCTATTTCTGGAAGGGCCAAATTTATGAAGAATGTATTATTTAATACTTATACAACATTTTGAAAACCTAAATCACATTGTTGCAACTAGGCAACTGTTAAAAAGTAAGTACCAGATTTATTAGCAGCTATTTTCACAAAGATTCCATTTAATAATGTTGGTGTACCCTCTGTAATTTATTTGATTAATAATATTTGATTTGAACCCAAATGATGACTTCTCACATATATGACAGAACTAATGAACTGTGAAAGAAGAACTGTTCAGATGGTCACCAATAACCACTGCTTAGTTAATCCTTTAAATAAACTGGAGCTCACAATGTGTCCCTTTGAAGTCATAAATAATGTATATTTTTCTTTTGACTTTTAATAAGCCAGTAGGGTTCATCTCACAGTCTCCAAACACATATATTTTATTATGGGCCTCTGCAGTTTACTTTAATTAGTGTGTCTGAGTGCTTTGGGAGACTTAGCCCTACTGAAAACAAACAGAGTCTTACCATCTATAAAACATTAGCTCCCTTTGGTTTATCCTGACACAGCGGGGGAGGCTCAGTGAGAAACACATGGTGTAAGTAAACACTCATAATTGCATTAGCATTCTCTGGTGGATTGGTAATTCAAGCTCTGTTCCATGATATTGTAAGAGCAGTTAGAACAGGTTTACCAATCTTGTGGTCTGCTGGGGATTTCATCAAATTCCATGTGAACAGAACTTTAAGTGACAAATCTACTGGAAACAGAGTACGAGAAAGGAAAGCTTTCTGTTAAATGGAAGCTTAGTATAGGCAGTATAATTTATTTCTTACATAGCTGTGAGATTTTTCAGTTCTATTTGCCATTTCTTTTCTCATGTTATTTAATATGAAAGTGGGTTCCAATCTGCTCTTTGGATACACCCACTTTATTGACTATGATTGTTCAACACTGTATAAAACAGCTAGTTGGTTGATTAAAATTTTCGGCTTTCAGTATCTATTTTGATACCATTATATACCCAAACATATTTGCCAATAAAATAATCGTGCTACTGATTGTTGATAGGATTAATGTCTTATTTCTAAGAAATTAATATATTACTTAAAAAATAATTAGTAGTTAAAACTCCATGTTTTGTAAACATCCTTTGTATATATAAGCCTAATGCCCATTATCACTCTTATGCTTTTGAATGTAATATTCTAGCCATTGCTTGGAATAATATCTGACCAATATATTTGGGACAATAACAAGAATGTAAGATATTCCCTAGCTGGATTAATCTGATTGATTTAGATAAGAAATTGAGTTGTATCAATAAGCACAAATGGTTTAGCTATTTGAACAATGTGACCAGTGGAAAATTGCTCAATTTATCTATCTTTATATAACTTCCCATGTTTTGTGTTTTTTACTGACTTTGGATTTACTTCACTTTTATTTTTCTTTTGGCTAATTTTGTCAGTTAGGCTGGTCAAAATAAACAAACTTATCTGTTTAAGATATCTTTTAGGCTTTTCAGAAAAAATAAGTCCCATCAAAATTTTGATTGGAGTCACTAATTATTTCTAGTGCAATGAGTATGTACTCTACACTAGTGCTGTTCATTAGAAATAGAATGCAAGAAGTATACTTTTACATTTTCTGGTGAATATACAAAAAGTAAAAAGAAACAGGTGAAATAAATTTTACTAATATATATTATTTAACAACATATCCAAAATATTGTCACCTCAACATGTAATCAATATAAAAAGTTACTAAGAATATATTTGATCTTTTTTGTACTAAATTTTTGAAATCCCAGGTGTATTTTACACTTAAAGAACATCTCAATTTGGACTAGCCACACTTGAAATGCTCATAGCCACATGTGGCCAGTGGCTACCATGTTGGAGAGTAATATTACACCTTTTCATACAGATTAAATAAATGGATGGTTTTAAAAAGAACTATGTTGAAACTTAAAAAAATCCACAAAATCCTTATTCCCTATTAAGTATACATTTCCTTAAGCATTACTCTTTCTGGAATCTCTGGTCTGATTTGTAAGTTGTAATTTTTCTATTTTATTTTACCCTCTTCCTTCTGACTCTGATGTCATCTCATAGTTTGCTCTCACTGTTTTATATTTTGAAAATTACTTGGCTCATATGCCTAGTTAAGAATGTAATTTTTCACACTGATGTCAATGAGAGCAAATTGCTATGTTAATGGTATGAAACTTATTGATGAGCAATGAGAAAGAGCTGTGCAGAAAATATTATCTTTCAAGTATAGAAAAGAGACTGGTTATATTTTCCAAGCTATACTGTATTATTTTTGCATTGTTTTAACTGGGTGCAGGTACTGCCTACTATTGAAATATTGTGAAAGGAAAAATGTTGAAGCTTTAAAATTTCTAAGTGTTAGCTAAGTAAATAATAGCAGAGTATTATAAATTATTTCTCTTTTTCAATTCTCATGTTTTAGAAGTTAATTTAACTTTGATACAGAAAATGCTTAAAAAATTTGTCCATGTAATATGGACTATATAGTGTTTATATAATTATTAAGAAAAATTTCTTCAACGTGTCATTTTGTATTTAGAGGAAAATACCTAAGATTGAGCCTTACTGATGGTAAGGCAAATAAAAATAAAAACTTAAAAAAAAAAAAAGAAACAAAGAAAGGAACTAAAACAAAGAAAAGAAACCAAAAACAAAGAAAAAAATAAAAATAAAAACTTACAAGTTTCTCATCCATAATTTGCTCTATTTACAAAGATATTCCCATCTTGCTGTAGCTATTCAGTCCTATATCTATATGAGTTCAGCTTAAAGAGCACAAATATTTTGAATATTTTCAAGTATTTATATTGCTAAAAAAATTTGTCTTCTGATGATTAATTTAAAATAAAAATTGTCAGAAAATGCTTTTAAATGAATATTAAGAAATTATAGGATCATTCAATGCATTAAATGATTTAATTTGCTGAGCCACTGTTTAGTCAAAATGAGTCTTTTTATTTATCAGCTTTTCGCTGGTCACATTTTTCTATAGCTATAATAGATGTCACCTTTAAAAATATCTGAGTGTTTAAAATTCTTTTAATTTGGTTACACTATGTAAATTCAAATGTATATTTAAAAATTTCATATGTAACTGAACACTATAGGATATATAAATATATCTTATACAAATTATGTAGACTATAAACATGTAGATAAAATAAAAATGATATTTATAAAGTGAAAGTATAGATTATATTTAACTTGCATCACAGATAAGCTTCTATATGTAAATTTGTTGTGTCAGTGATGTATTTTGAATATTATTTACATAAAATTTGGTGTGAGATTCACTACTTAGATATTTTACTAAGTCATCATTAATATTCAATTAGCAAATTCTCTGATTTTATACCAACTCCTTGAAATTTCTTTTGCATTTGCAAAGTATATTGATATGTAGTCTTATTACATGAGATTCAATTTCTTAGAATCAAAAAGTTGATAACATAAATAACGCAATAGAACAAGAAAACTTTTCTTAAAATCTAAACCATTAGGATAGGGCATAGTGGAGGACTATTTAAATTGAAATTTTCTTATATGATGAGTCATGTCAGCATACATTACAATTTTAAAAAGTAGTAGTAACACTACCTGAATTCTGAAAAGATATATTTCAAATGATGATTTTATTTACAGAACAACCTACTTTATGTTTTTCTATAATGTATGAAGGCTCTTTGTTTACGTATTATGAGTATTTAAATCTTACGAAGGAAATCATTACTCTGTCAAAACTTTAAAGATTTGAATTTGATAACTAAATGAACAATGCTGAATAGTTCTTTGAATTATCTCCATAAACTTGTTCGTAGGCATCTTTTCTAGGAGTAGGAACCAGATTTGCTTTGAAATTGCTCAATGTTTGCCTTCTGCCAAAGCTGAGCTGCTGATAAGCACACCCACCGGCTTAAACAAGGTGCCTGACAGACTAGAATGGTTGGTGAGGAATCAAAAATATGCTTTAATCCAGTGTTCATTCTCATATCACAAAAAGGGGTTACAGAATGATTGCTGTTCGCAAAAGAAAAAGGCAAGCACAATTAAAAGCCAGGTTTCTAATCCCTTCTGCCTGGGTTTAGAATCAGAGCCAAAAGAAATAGTGTTTTAACAGGTACATATGCCCTTAGGGGAAAGCACACCCCGACCACCTAGCTGGTGAGATGAAAAGATAATAGGATTCAGTAATATCAGTGGCCAACAAATTGTGCCTCAACTGCTATGGCTGACAAGAGGCCATAGAACTAGTGGGTGGCCAAGAAAAACTCTATTTTGTGACAATGGGCAGATAAATGTGGTGGCCAAATATCATCTTTCCAGCCTAAAGCTTCTGTCTTAGCAGTCAAGACATATACCATCAGTATGTGAGAAAATTTTAGAGCAAGTGCCTGACTTTTTGGAGAGCCATTTCCAAATGATTGAAGGGCAGTCTGAGCTGCTAACCACTAATTAGCCTAATTGACACCAAATTGAAAGGGATGACTCAGCTGTTGCAGCAACACTGCCTAATGGCAGTGTTGTGTCTCAGCTGTTTGAATGAGAAATGATTATTAATTGCACCCTGTGGAAAGAGAAACTGCTGCATTATATTAATATTGGGGAAGTAGAGGATTAAACCTCTTCTTAATCTGACTATAAGCTTGCCCCACCTTGCTGGCACTCTTGTCATCAGGAATAGCTGACACAAGTTGGGTAAAGTGATTTCAGCTCTACTATTGCCACATTGGGGATTTTGCAGACAGCCCTTGCTAGCCAACCAGTTTTCTGGGAGCAACAATAGTACTAAATCTAAAGTTAAAAAGAAAAACAACAAAAAAGCCAATAGTAGATACTGAATAAGTGTTTACTATTAAAAACATGAGTTTCTTTGTTTAGTAGTTTTTTGAACACAAAAAACATTATTTTTAATTGATAAGTAGAATTTTATTTTCTATTCTAAACATTAATTTTTAATCACTGGATATAACAGTTGTTTAGTTGTGTCTACTGAAGAAAGGAAGGAAGGAAGGAATCTTGAATGTACTGTAAGTTACAGGTTAGTATATGACCAAACAGTGGAAAAGTAGTTGACTTTAGTTGGATTTGTCTTCTTATATTGGGAAATTAATTTCTGGGACCAATAGGAAGGCAAATGTTTGAAATACAGCTCTTACTATCTAGGAAGGCACTAGTTTTTCTCTTTCTCTGTAAATCATTAGATTCCTTTACTTAAGATGAGATCTTTCCTGTGTAGGTTTGTAGCTATAGGATTGAAAGGACCTCTGCCGGCCTTTTGGTTTTTGGCAAACAAAATAGTCATACCAACAACTGGGGAACTGTCTTCTCTAGAATTATGCTTGAAACTTTTAATTATAATGTAAATTACTGAATTTTTAAGAAGGCACAGTGATAAAACCAGGTTTAATTCCAAAATTTTAAAATTTTCTTGGGAAAGCTCATTAGAGAGAACAATATTTTATTCTACTATAACAACTATAACCATAAAGTTTATAAAGATTTGGCTTGGCAGTTGTAGAATAACATATTTTCAGGTCTCTAACAAGATGCAGAGTTGAATGAAATATATCAAGTGTGGTCAATATCCAAGCTAGCAATGAGATGTGTTCTAAGTGAGTGCTTTTCAATTGGATTGTGCATCAATATGCATTTAGATTCCACGATAGTGATTTTGACCTTACATCATTAATTCATTCACTCATTTATTCATTAAGACAGCAAACATTCTTGCAACATGTATTTAGGTACCGTATGTATCTCTGAATTAAAATTCAGATTAGCTAGTCAGAGACTATAAAATGGTAATATATAGTATTACCACTTTATATTTCAATATTTCAATCAGTATATTTCCAAAGATAATAGTGGGAAATAATTATTGTAATGCAGCTTACAAAATAAAAGGATACAACTTGGGATAATTTTGTGTATTTGTAATGAAACACATGAAATTATTGAATTGAGTCTTCCTCAAAAGTCCTTGTTTTCCACATCAGCTCAAGGAAGAACAGATCTACATTTATCTACACACATGAAAATATGGGACTGGTTGCTACTGCTGCCCAGTTGAAGGCAGGTTCCTGATAGAGATTATGACAGTGCTAATTTGTGATTATAGTATTAGTGAAGGAAAAACAGCAGGGAAACTATTGGAAAAGCAGAAAGCTAACACACACACACACACACACACACACACACACACACACACACACACACACACACCAGTATTTGTTGAATGCAATTCTGAGCCAAGTGCTTTCATTTATTGCCGTCTTCTAGTTGCTCACTTGGCTTCCTGGAGTACAAGCAGGCTCTCCCCAGTGAATGTGACCCTTGAAGTCTGGAGGAATAGTTACAGCACAGGTACCAACAATTTTGGACAATTTTAGAAATACAGTATTTTCTCATAACCACAGTTTAGCAAATTAATTCTTCCACTGCTAAATTCAGAAGTATTTCAACCATATTCCCTTCCATCACTGATCTTTGTATTACTTACAAAGTAAAATAGCTGAGAATACATTATGGTGGTACAACTATCTTATATTAATACATACTTCCTTCTAAGAGCTGTCCATAAAAGGGTATCACAAGACTGACAGAGGATTGAGAGAGGAGATGAATATTCACATATTTATTCAACAGACATGTGTCCATCATCTCTCTGTGCCAGGCACTTTGCTGTGCACTTACTATGTGAAGCCATTTGAGGTGATTGTAAAAATGAAGAGATGGGAAAGAATTTTTGAGGAGGCTCCCAGTATCACAACTTTGCATGTTGCAAATATTCCCTAGGGAGTAATTATAGTTATTTAGCCTTCCTCTTGACTCTAGTCCTGCTGATAGGAAATAAACATCTACTGCTCTGGACTTAAAAAACAACCATGGAAGATGCCTTTATGTTTCCTTTATTCCCCCTTATTTTTAAAAAGACCATGGTATTGCCAAATGTGCCAAGTGGAGAGAAGACTTTAATTCATAGGTTCAAGGGAAGAGGCTTAAGATCAAAAGCTTAGCTGAGCCATTAAACTCATTAGACTCAATATTCCAAAAGAGAGAGAGATGTAATGGGAAGAGGGAAAGGGAGGATATTGACTGGGGTTCTTTTTGTTTTTCAGGTAATCATGAGTGTTGTTATTGGGAGTGAAAGGTTTGGATGTCACTGATTTCTAAGTTACATTTTTAACATATCTATGAAGAAATATGCTAGAGGCAGCTTGTAGAGGTTCTCAAGAACTGAAGGTGCACCTCTCTTCCCAACTCTGAAGTCAATGACCTCATGTTGATATCTTCAAATTGGCGATGGTAGGGATATTTATTTCATAGGAACTGGAAAATACTGCAAATCAGGGCTGACCTTCTCCCCATCCCACAGAACTGATTGTTAACCATTTACCAGCATACCACTGGCTGTAAGGATTTAGGATCTCAGTGAATCATCCTACCACATTCAACCACACTGTGACCAGTTTCAGAAATTAGCACTTGGATGCTGATACAATGTAAATCCAATGTAAATCCAATCTAAATCACTCATAGTCACTGGGAAACCCAGTGACTGCAGTTGCTGTATCAATGACACACAGACAACTAATATGGGAATTGTTAATTTGCATCACACTCAGGTTATTGGTATAAATGAAAGAAAAATCACAAATACTTTAGAACTTAGTAGCATTAAATGATGCACTTTATTGTACATAACAGCACTGACATTAAAGGAACTCTTTGTTAATTAAAGTGTTAAGAAGTTAAAGGACATTTTTAAAACCAGAAGCAAAAGAGAAAAAGTCAGTAGAATGTATGCTGGAATTGGTAATGCTCTTGGGATAAGCTGCAAATATGGGTATTTCTGGCAATGTTTCTGAAAATTTTATGATTTAAGCTTATCTGAGTCCTTACTGAATAGAGATATTGTATACTCTCTGTTCCTTGCCTTTTTTTTTTTTTTTTTAAAGATTGTCTGGTTTAGTAGTTTCCATGGTTTTTACTATGATTGTTTTTACCTGGCAAGTTATGCTAATCTCATTTCCACAAAAATTGCCTGGAAGAATGCAGAATTGTACTTGGTTTCTATACGTCTTGGATTGGAGTTACTGAACAGTTATTCATTTTGGACCAAAAAATATTTCGTCTCTTTGGTGCTGTGACTTTCTTACAGTTTTAAATACTGTAATAAAAGTAAGTTAAAAATACTTGAAAGTTAGGGTAAATGAATATTTCATTACATATGCATTCTATAGTTACATATAGTGTATATGCATAGAAAACAAAAAGGATATATATTAACATTAAGGGAATGGGATAGAGGAAGAATGGGGCCTTTATTTTCTGATGTATACATATGTGTTGTCTGAATTTGTTACAAAAAATATATATTAATAAAAAATAATACTTGCAGGCTGGGCACAATGGTTCACACCTGTAATCCTAGCACTTTGGGAAGCTGAGGCAGGTGGCTTCAGATGGCTTGAGTCCAGGAGTTTGAGACCAGCCTGGGCAACATGGCAAAACCCCGTCTCTACAAAAAAGACAAAAAAACGGCATGGTGGTGCACACCTGTAATCCTGGCTACTTGGGAGGCTGAGGTGGGAGGATCACTTGAGTCTGAGAGATGGAGGTTGCGGTGAGCCGTGGTTGTACCACTGCACCCCAGCCTATTTGACAGAGTAAGACTCTGTCTTAAAAAAAAAAAAACACCACTTTGGGAGGATGAGGCAGATGGATCACTTGAGGCCAGGAGATCGAGACCAGCCTGGTCAACACAGTGAAACACCGTCTCTACTAAAATTACAAAAAAGCCGAGCATGGTGGTGCACGCCTGTAGTCCCAGCTACTTGGGAGACTGAGGCAGGAGGATCACCTTAGCTCAGGGAGGTTGAGGCTGCAGTGAGCCAAGATCATGCCACTGCACTCCAGCCTGGGTGACAGAGACTCTGTCTCAAAACAAACAAACAACACCCCCCCATTCAAAACCCCCAAACAAACAAAAAACAAACAACGTACAAACAAGCAGAACAAGAAACCCAAAAAACTTGCCAGTTTCATTTTTACAATGCTTCCCTTACTCCCTAAATGCAGAAAAATGTGAAATAAAAGGAAGATGAGAAGAGATTACAGTATATAAATGGCTCTGTGGTTTTTGCCTTTATCTTCAGAAGAACATACATAATATTTGTCATGCTTCTAAAAAACTAGTGTACAGCCACAATAGGGTGACTATAGTTAAGGATAATTTATTGTTTATTTAAAAATAACTAAAAGAGTAGAATTGAAATGTTCCTAACAAAAAGAAATGATAAATGGTTGAGGTGATGGATACCCAAATTACCCCGATTGGATTACTACATATTGTATGCTCTTATCAAAATATCACATGTACTCCATAAATATGTATAACTATTATGCATCCATAAAAATTAAAAACAAGAAGTTTTATAAGCTGAAAAAATAAAAATCTAAATTATCTATTTTCTATTGCTGTTTCTATTTTTATACCAAGAAAAATAATCATTACAACTATTTCCCAAATGGAATTTTGGCAAAGGGGTTTGTTTACTGCTCTGCTGATGTTTTGACATTTACAAGGTAATTTTTATTAGTTCAGTTCTCAGAAAACCAAAAACTATGTGTTCTTACTTGTAAGTGGGAGCTAAACATTGAATACACATGGACACAAAGATGGGAACAATAGACAGTGGGGAGCGCTTGAGGTGGGAGGTTGGGAAGAAGTGGGTAGGTTGAAAGGCTACCTATTGGGTGCTATGCTCACTGCCTTGGTGATGGGATCATTAATACACCAAGCCTCAGTGACACTCCATTTACCCACATAGCAAACCTGCACATATGCTCCTGAATCGAAAATAAAAGTTAAAAAAAACCAGTCCCGTTTTGAACTGAAATTTATTATTCTGTTAAGGGTTTCTTGCCTTGAAATCTTAATGATATAGGCCAGTATGTCTAACTGGAATAGCATACACCGTCTCACAGTTTTCTGTCTTCTGGTAAAGCAAAGAAAAATGCAGCTAAAATGGATTCATTTATAATTTCAGGAGATTGCTGTAGCTTTTATGTTGTCACAGCTTGCATCGTGGAGGTAATTTTTACTATTACAATAAAAAACTTCTAATAATTCAAGCTACAGTGAAGGAAGGCTCCAAACCTCGCTGTCCTTTATGTACCTTTTAAGGAGATGAAAGTAACATCTTAAAGTCTCAGGCGGTCAGAACAGTTTGAGGTATGCTGTCACCACATCACCTCAGCTTTTTTCACTCAAGAGCTATTTCAGATCTCTTTGTGGTATGTTTGGCAATACACTTAAAGGATTACTACTTAAGCTACTGATAATTTGGCTTCAAGCAATTGTCTGTCTGTCCATCCAGTGGCTTATTCTTTCTTTGGTTTTCAAAAACCCAAAAATGAGCGGCCAGAAACACAACAACAATGAAAAAGGAAGAACCATAATCTCGTTTAGAGTTTTCCTTCCAACTTTCAGACAGCTATGGCATTAAGAGAAAGTTAATGTACTCTGGTTCTGTTTCAAAATACTAATTTTTAAGGTTTTTTCCCAGGCGGATGAGGTGGGGTGGGATAGAGTGGGAGATAGGAGGTAATATGGAATGGAGTAATTTTTTTTTTTTTTTTGAGACGTAGTCTCGCTCTGTCACCTAGGCTGGAGTGCAATGGCACGATCTTGGCTCACTGCAACCTCTGCCTCCCAGGTTCAAGTGATTCTCCTGCCTCAGCCTCCTGAGTAGCTGGGATTACATGTACCTGCCACCATGCCCAGCTAATTTTTTGTATTTTTAGTAGAGATGGGGTTTCACATGTTGGCCAGGCTGGTCTCGAACTCCTGACCTCCTGATCCACCTGCCTCAGCCTCCCAAAGTGCTGGGATTACAGGTGTCAGCCACCATGCCCAGCCAGAATGGAGTAATTTTGAAATCTCCATCCCCTCTTTCGTGTTTTAATCTGTTTCTTTCAGTGTTTTACTTTAGATTAGGAAAGACAAATCTCTTTTTTTCAAACTTCACTTTTGAAGTGTGGTTTTTGGTGGATTATCTTGATGGAACATTTCTCTCATGAATCCAGCTAAAGATAAAACTAATTTGGATTTCTGTAAAGGTAGAGGTAATTCACAAAGTAACAAACATCTTGTTGCCTTTGACTTCTTCATTCCTAAATTTCATATTTTATCTAGAATCTTATATTCTGAGGACTCAGACATTATTTTGTATACACACACACACATAAAGTTTATATATAAAGTTTAGTTGACATTTATCTGAAAGTTATTTTGTCTTAAAAAAGAACTATAACATTCATTACAAATAATAAAAAATAGAAAATAAAAACAAAGAATAATTGTTCAATTCTATCATATCTGAATTTCGTTTGTATAGGCAATGATACAAATATTTGTTTTCCTATTAATACTGTTAACAATTATTAAATATGTTAATACCCTAGAATTTTCTGATGCATGTTAAAATATTCTTATATTGCTATTTATACTTATATCTAATGGAGTTTTATTTTTGTTTTTATAGCATTTTTGGTTGCTCTTAAGTGACTATGCACTATATATCATATATTTAATAGTTAGAACTAAATATATATGTGTATATGTTTATATATATTATTAATGACTATACATATTGTTCTAATCCTAAATATTAAATATATAAGGCAGATTCTTTTTATTAGTCACTTTTTCTCCCTTTCCCAATGCCTTAAACACAGAAGAGACTTTCAATTAATCCGATTGATTGAGCTTTTGTCTCCAGTGAGCTGTGTGGCCTTCAGTAAGTCAAGTTTCTTTGGTAGTAAAATGAAGCCAGGTCTAAAGAATTCCTAGGATTCTTTCTTGTTATTGGATTTTCTGTGATCTGCCTTAAATTAAGGACTCAAAGTAATATAAGCCAGTTTCTGAAAAATGTATGTAAATGAAATGTTTCCCTAGCTAAAGGTGAGGTATTTAGAAACTATAGAATGTGATCCATACAGCAAAAGATGGTAGAATATAGTCTAGACCGTAAAGAAAGACTGTGGAGTGTGGTGGGTTTTTTTTGCACTTCAGTCACCTCCTTTCTCATTGTCCTATGTCCCCTGATAGATGCTCCCCTCAAGATAATGACTTCTCTCCTGCTCTACTCTGGCTCATAGGAATTGCCCATTTCCCAGCTCCTCTCAGGTGGGCCAACCCTGAGAGTGAGAGCATCCCTCCTTTGCCACATACCTGGCCATCTGCTGCTCTGTTTCATTGTGGACCTGTTCTTTGTCAAGAAGCTGGGGATTTGATAGGTGGTAATCAGAGGCATGTCTGGGTTTTGTCTCAAGTTGTGGAAGTTTACACAACTTGAGAGGCTCTCATTTAGAAAAAGAATACAAAATTGGGTACAAAGGAAAACATTTATTGAAAATGAAAAAAATCTTAAATGACAAATTTTCAAGTTAACAAATATGGCAAACATTACAAAATCTAGAAAAATAATATAATTATTTTAATTAACTGTCACACATTTTAAATATCTTTTCCCTATACATTTGTCAGCATATTTTTTGATTGCCTCTTCATTATGATGAAAATATTTTAATAACAATCTCTGTAGAGAAAATGAAAAGATAATTTTGTCTTTCCTCTTTCATAATGAATCAAATTTTCTACTACTGACATTTTAGAAGTTTCTTTTTCACTTCACAATTTGTAATTGCTCTTATGTAAACTTATGTAAATGTTTATGGTTATGATAAACTTTCAGGCTTGTGAAATTTTCTTGTGCAGCAAACAATGTTAAATCTCTTTGGATTGACGATATTCTTTTTTTTTTTTTTTTTTTTTTTGAGACAGGGTCTCTCTCTGTTACCCAGGCTAGAGTGCAGTAGGACAATCATGATTCACTGCAGCCTCAGCGTCCTGGTGATCTTCCCACCTCAGCCTCCAGAGTAGCTGGGACTACAAGTGTGCGTCATGACACCCAGCTGATTTTCTGTTGAGATGGGATTTCACTATGTTGCCTAGGCTGGTCTTGAACTCCTGGGCTCAAGCAATCCCAAGCTGCCCACCTCAGCCTCTCAAAGGCTGACATTACAGGAATAAGACAGCCTTATATCATTCTTTATCCACATTGCTTAGAGCCTTCTAAGGTAACGGGGAGGATCTCATGTGGTTAAGGGGACCTGAAGCTTAAGTATCGTTTAGTTGTGGCAAAACCACCCCTGGTGGTAATTGGTAAAGAAAAATCTTTAGAGTTAGTTCTATGCTCAAGTTTGAAATTCACTACATTTTAGTTATATGACTTTAGAAAAATCATTTGGTTCTTTGAGCTTCAGTTTCCCCAATTCTAAAATGAGACTATTGATAGTATTAACCTTATTATATTGTTTTGAGGATTAAAAATAATAGTGTGTTTTCCCAAACTATTAGTTTCTTCCATCATCCACTTCACAGTATTTTCTAATCTGAGTCTTAAAAAGGCTTTTTTGAAACGAGGTCTTCATGTCAAAATTAGATGGTGATTTTTAAAAAAATTATCTCATCTAGCTATTTGTGAAAAATATTTGGGAACAAAATTGAGAAGATAAAATACACACGTTTTGCATTTCTAATATGTTCCAATAGCTTTCTCATGTATTACTTCAGCTCAAATATTGTGGGTCTCCTTGTCTACTCAACCATAGATAAACATACAGAATCACACTCAAATGATCCTATCTTTTCTTCTCACAACCAAGGTCTAACACCATCTTTAAACACAGTTAAAACTCAGTAAGAATTCATGAATAAATGAATGGTCTCATATAATCCTGCAACGACTCTGATAGGGAGACTGACTTTGCTTTACAAGAAAAGGCTCTGATAGGTAAATTCACCTATCCATGGTAGCACAGCTAATAAGACCCAATCCAACCAAAGTCTAAGTTCATCCTCTTTCTTTTACACTTTGCATTCTTCACATTTCTTGACGCTCCTCAAGTCACTCCTTATAGGTAGATACCTAATCCACACACTTTGGATTGGTCACTTTGAAATGCTTTTTAAAACTTTAAGGATCTCTGTCTGATATATTTCATTTATTTACTAGTCAATTATAACATAACCATAACATAAGAAGAAAACCATGCATTTATATTGTGAAGATTTAGTGTGGTTTTAATAAAAAATTGTCACCATTAATTTTCCTTGTTAAACTATTTTACTTAAATATCATTATATATTACTCTGCAAACTTATTTAAATGAGAATTTTAATTTTTCACTTACCTCTATTGATTGAGGAATGGGCATTTTTGTTAATTGAGTATCTTGTTAATGTAGGAGTTATAATTCTACAGTTCATGCATTGCTAATTTTCTTAAAAGTATAAAGCACATTGCAATTATAGTGAATGTCAATTTTCTTTGATAATTCAGATGACTTTTTGAGTTCTCTTTGTATCACAGAATTTTCATCAGATGACTTTTTGAGTTCTCTTTGTATCACAGAAGTTTCATGATGAACATTAAATGTGACAGAAGGTGTAGGAGATAGAGCTGACAGGAATCAAGATTGAGTTTGTGATCCAGCCTGGATTTTTTTTTTAATCACCTTGTTTATTTTTCATTTACATCCTTATCCATCAGAGAGAGAGGAGAGTAAAATTACATTTTATATATCCCTTTGGATTTTGGATAAATATGAATTACGTCATTATTTTATAATTAATCTCGGTACATTCATAGGTATCTGAGGAAGGCATTAAGAAACCCAGATGCATGGAGAGTATGAGCTCCTCTGTCTCTTAGTTTCCATATATCACAATGTCTTTGAGGGTTCCGACTCACTCACCAACTTCCGAACATTAGGGTATCCCTTACTTCTTCCCTTTTGTATATACACATACTCCCCAGGTAGGCTCTTTTAATACTAACTGTGCTCTGACAAAGCTCAACTTTATCTCTTTAGCTATACCCTCTCCTTGAAATGCAAACTCAGTATCAAACTGCTTACTCTACAAATCAAGTTTGGAGATGCATCTTAAGCATTTGAAACTTAAACTGAACCCCTGATTTCTCACCTCTACTCTCCCATCCCTAATCCTCTAGAGGTCTTTCCTGTTTCAGCAAATGACAACTCCAAATATTCAGTTGCTCAGGCCCAAAATTATCTTTTGGTTTTCTTTTTCTTTCATAACCCAAATCTAGTCCACTTCTTATCCTGTGGGGCCACTTTTGGCTATAGACACCATTACCACACTGGTCTGCATGACCACCATCTGTGCCAAAATGATTGTGGTTGTCTCTCTTTTTATTTATTTTTTATTTTATTTTTTTGAGAGTCTTGCTCTATCACACAGGCTGGAGTGCAGTGGCGCGATCATGGCTCACTGGACCCTCTACCTCCTGGGCTCTAGAGATCCTCCCACCTCAGCCTCCCAAAGTGTTAGGATTATAGTCATGAGCCACAGTTCCTGGCCAGTCTCTCATTTTAAAATGTAAATCAGGTCATGCCACTCTTCTGCTCCAAACCCTCCAGAGTTTCCACCACTTTGCTCCATCTCTCATTATGCTCCAGGAATGCTGGCCCCTTACTGTTCTTTCAGCCTGTCAAGCACACTTCCTGTGGGCACTTAGGGTTTCCTCTGTCTGAAACTGCCTTTCCTCAGATAATAATGTGGTAGGCCGGGCGCAGTGGCTCACGCCTGTAATCCCAGCAGTTTGGGAGGCCAAGGCGGGCAGATCATGAGGTCAGGAGTTCTAGACCAGACTGACCAACATGGTGAAACCCCATCTCTACTAAAAATACAAAAATTAGCCGGGTGTGGTGTTGCATGTCTGCAATACCAGCTACTCAGGAGGCTGAGGCGGGAGAATAGCTTGAACCTGGGAGGCGGAGGTTGCAGTGAGCCGAGATTGCGCCATTGCACTCCAGCCTGGGTGACAGAGCGAGACTCCGTCTCGAAGAAAAAAAATAAAAAAAGATAATAGCGTGGTGTGCTTCTTTCTTTCCTTCACTTCTCTGTTCAAATGTCACTTTATCAAGGAGGACTTAATCATCTTATATAAAACAGCAACTCCTCCAGCCTCCCAGCGAATTGTCTATGCTCCTTTCTTTGTTTACTGTCCTTTCCACTCATCAGTATCTGACACATCTATGTTTTAATTCTTTGTTTATCATTTGACTTCCCTATGTAGAATATAAGTGGCATGAGGACAGGGACTTTATCTGTTTCTTTAGCTATAAGCTCTATCTCAAACAGTTCCAGCTATAAAGTAGACACTCAACAAACATTTATTGAATAATGGCCATCTCCCTGAATGAATTAATAATAAGTGACTATAAATTATATTTTCATACTAGCATGGATATATGGGTTTTATATATTTGTCTCATACAGGATCCCATAATTTAAGTTAAAATTAAAGTACAATTTAATAAGATATGAAATATAAAGGCTATAAACTTATAAAAGCCATAATTTTAAAGTTTGGTTATGGAAATTAAAATTATTTTATTACCATTATTTGAAGAGATATATTTAAATATCTCTTTCTGAATAAAATACCTAGAAATCCAACTTACAAGGGATGTGAAGGACCTCTTTAAGGAGGACTACAAACCACTGCTCAACAAAATAAAAGAGGACACAAACAAATGGAAGAACAGTCCATGCTCATGGATAGGAAGAATCACTATCATGAAAATGGCCATACTGCCCAAAGTAATTTATAGATTCAATGCTATTCCCATCAAGCTACCACTGACTTTCTTCACAGAATTGGAAAAAACTACTTTAAATTTCATATGGAATCATAAAAGAGCCTGCATAGCCAAGACAATCCTAAGCAAAAAGAACAAAGCTGGAGGCATCACACTACCTGACTTCAAACTATAGTACAAGGCTACAGTAACCAAAACAGCATGGTACTGGTACCAAAACAGATATGTAGACCAATGGAACAGAACAGAGGCCTCAGAAATAACACTGCACATCTACAACCATCTGATCTTTGACAAACTTGACACAAACAAGCAATGGGGAAAGGATTCCCTATTTAATAAATGGTGCTGGGAAAACTGGCTAGCCATATGGAGAAAGCTGAAACTGGATCCCTTCCTTACACCTGATACAAAAATTAACTCAAGATGGATTAAAGACTTCAATGTAAGACCTAAAACCATAAAAATCCTAGGAGTAAACATAGGCGATACCATTCAAGACACAGGCATGGGCAGAGACTTCATGACTAAAACACCAAAAGCAATGGCAACAAAAGCCAAAATTGACAAATGGGATCTAATTAAACTAAAGAGCTTCTGCACAGCAAAAGAAACTATCATCACAGTGAGCAGGAAACCTACCAAATGGGAGAAAATTTTTGCAATCTATCCATCAACAAAGGGCTAATATCCAAAATCTACAAAGATCTTAAACAAATTTATAAGAAAAAACAAACAACCCCATCAAAAAGTGGGCAGAGGATATGAACAGGCACTTCTCAAAAGAAGACATTTATGCACCCAACATACATATGAAAAAAAATGCTCATCATCACTGGTCATCAGAGAAATGCCAATCAAACCCACAGTGAGATACCATCTCACACCAGTTAGAATGGTAATCATTAAAAAGTCAGGAAACAACAGATGCTGGAGAGGATGTGGATAAATAGGAACACTTTTACACTGTTGGTTGGAGTGTAAATTAGTTCTACCATTGTGGAAGACAGTGTGGTGATTCCTCAAGGATCTAGAACTAGAAATACCATTTGACCCAGCAATCCCATTACTGGGTATATACCCAAAGGATTATAAATCATGCTACTATAAAGACACATGCACATGTATGTTTATTGAGGTACTATTCACAATAGCAAAGACTTGGAACCAACCCAAATGTCCATCAATAATAGACTGGATAAAGAAAATGTGGTACATATACACCATGGAATACTATGCAGCCATAAAAAAGGATGGGTTCATGTCCTTCACAGGGACATGGATGAAGTTGGAAACCATCATTCTCAGCAAATATCATAAGGACAGAAAACCAAACACCACATGTTCTCACTCATAAGTGGGAGTTGAACAATGAGAACACATGGACACAGGGAGTGGAACATCACACACTGGGGCCTGTTGGGGGGTTGGGGGCTGGGGGAGGGATAGCCTTAGTAGAAATACCTAATATAAATGATGAGTTGATGGGTGCAGCAAACCAACATGGCACATGTATACCTATGTAACAAATCTGCACATTGTGCACACGTACCCTAGAACTTGAAGTATTTTTTTTGAGATGGAGTTTCACTTTTGTTGCCCAGGCTGGAGTGCAGTGGCGCAATCTCAGCTCACCACAACTTCTGCCTCTGGAGTTCAAGCGATTCTCCCATGTCAGCCTCTCGAGTAGCTGGGATTACAGGTGTGCACCACCACATCTGGCTAATTTTTGTATTTTTTGTAGAGATGGGGTTTCCTCTTGTTGGCCAGGCTGGTGTTGAACTCCTTACCTCAGGTGATCCGCCCACCTCAGCCTTCCAAAGTGCTGGGATTACAGGTGTGAGCCACCTTGCCCAGTCTTAAATACCTCTTTCTATATATTTCTCCCTACAAGATTAGTTAAATTAAAATTGCAATTTCTTGTTTACCTGAAATGGCTGAGGATTAGTTGTTTTTGTTCACTGAATATCTCATTGATATAAGAATTACAATCAATCAATTCACAGACTGCTACTTTTCTTAAGTGTATATTTGCACATCACAGTTATGGCAAATGAAAATTTAATTTGATAATTTGGAAAACAACTTGAGCCCTCTTATTCTTCACGATATTCATCTTAAACATGAAATGTTATTTACTTCAGGTACAACGGCAGATTGTTGAATTAACAACATAAGTAATTAAAGTAAATAATGAAAAGTAAGTTTTTAATTTAATTTTTTTTCATGCCACACTTTCTGGTGCAGCAAGTCCTCTTCCTTGGCCACCTCACTAAACTGATCTCTCGCCATTAAACTCTTGTGAGGTCACATCACAAGCACTGTGTGTGATTCAACACCTCACTCTTTGGATATATTAAAGCTCAGATTACAAATGCAATGCCTTTGTTTCTGCAAAGTTTGAATATTGACTATAGCAATACATAGCACAAGAGAGTGGTTATGTTAAACTAGAATAAGAAACATGACAATATTTAGAAAATTTAACCTTCCAAGTGTTTTTTTTTTTTTGGTAAGTGTGTAGCATTATACTTCTGAAGTTATTAAAGTTTAAACCTATACAAAGGGCCGGGCACAGTGGCTTACACCTGTAATCCCAGCACTTTGGGAGGCCGAGGTGGGCAGATCACCTGAGGTCATCAGTTCGAGACCAGCCCGGGCAACGTGGTGAAACCTCTTCTCTACTAAAAATACAAAAATTAGCCAGGTGTGATGGTGGGCGCCTGTAATCCCAGCTACTCGGGAGGCTAGGCAGGAGAATCACTTGAACCTGGGAGGTGGAGGTTGCAGTGCGCAGAGATGGCACCATTGCACTCCAGCCTAGGCGACAAGAGCGAAACTCGATCTCAAAACAACAACAACAACAAATGAAAAACAAACAAACAAAAAACTTTACAAAGACCTTTGGGACTTTCATACCAGATAATAATGTTGTATGCTTCAATTAAGTCTTGCATGATACCCAAATTTGATCAATTAACAAAATTACCTGAAAAGTTTACTAAAAACACAAATTTCTGGGCTTCCCATAATTTCTTCCTCATCTCCACCAGAAATTCTGAGTCTGTCAGTCTTGATGGAACCTACAGTCTATCTCTATATATTTCTATCTATATCTGTACCTGAAGATATCTCCGTGTGATTTTGATGATGAACCAGATATGGTAACTCCTGACCTAGAAGAGCATGTCTGGAAGTGTGTATGAAAGAACATTAGTCTCCCAAAGAGCTTTGCAGCGAATGGAGTCTGCAGTGAGATAAGATCAAGAAATGCTGTATCCAACACATCTGGAATATTCACAGTGCGTACTAACATAGCATAGGCTCTGACACGTCCTGTAGTTTATGAAACACAAGCTTTTGCTTAACCCATAGTTTATAAAGCTATTTGAACAGGTAATCCCATTTTCCCCTACAGCAGCTGTTAACCCTCCTTGAAATGGAGGAGCTGGCATGCTGCTTTCAAACTCTGTTAGACAACTGACATTCATCAGGCTGTTCCCATATAAAAGATAAAGACTATTCTTTATAGAAAACAGAAGTTTTTGAAATATTTTAATTCCTCATCCAAGCCCAAGTTTATCTGTATACTCTCTAAGGTAAAGTTCAATCATTATTATTTTCTTAAAGATTTTCAGAGAATTTTTATACTTGAAAAAGGTAAGAATATTGCACTATAGTGATCAAAATATATTTGTAACGCTGTATCTAGGGAATTGGCATTTTATTAAGATTTTGGGGGTGCGATCCTTTCCTAGTATTTCCACTATTGGACTTACTATGAGCTCTGTAGCCTTACTCATTGTAACTTTGTTTGCTAACAGCACACGGAGCCTTATTTTAAAGGCTGTTTTATTTTTGTCAGCTATCACAATAGCTTCTATTTCTTGTCTGCTGGTTGCCACAAGTGTGGCAAGATGAATCCTAGGAGTATGATCCAAACCCTTCCCTGTCACTATCCTTACATTTCAAAGAAAACTGGTTTCTTTCCCTATAAAAAATGTTTCCAGTTTATCTAAAAGTCTGCTACTTTCACAACAAAGAGTACAGAGATAACAAGAAGGCAATACTTAATTATTTTGGTTATTTCCTAGAGGTAGCACTCTTTCTCTCTTTCTGTTTTCCTTCGCTTGCCCCTTGGTTTTCCTTTTTGGTCTTTGGCCTCGTTTCCTTTTTGGTCTTACCTACCATCATTGTTCCTCCAAAGCCACTTTCTTGTTTTGTTTGTTTATTTACTCTTATTTCCACTTCCATTTTACATTCCCCCTTTTTTATGGGCAGTCATTCTAATATATTTAATGTGTATCCTTCTGAACATATGTATTCTTTTAAATGTATTTTGTTGTTAATGTGTATATTTTTAAAAATTTACATAAGTGGCATTGTGCTATAGTCATTCTTCTTTACAGATGTTTTTCAGCACTCTATTTCATGTGTCTCTTTTAGCTGCTGCATAGAGCTTCATAATGGTCACTATATTGTATGTGTTCACTCCCCCGAGGAAAGACCTCCACTCCCCATCATCATCAGCAACACTGTAATGAATATCCTCATGCTTTCCCACCTATATAACTGTTGGAATTTCGGTGTGACACATACCCAGGAAAATATGTAACTTCATTGGATACTGCCAGTGCACTCTTCTCCGGGCTGGCTGATGGTCTCCCATCAGTAGTGCCCACCATGCATACCCCATATCATCATATTCCCATCAACATTTGGCTTTTTATTGCTTTAAGGCTTTTGCTAGTCTATAGAGTATAGACTGAAACTTCACTGTGGTTTTAATTTGTACTTCTGATTAATAATGAACTTGAACATCTCTTCATTTTCTTATTAGCCTTTTGGGTTTCCTCTTCTCTAAATTGCCCATGCACTGATAGCTGTTTATTCTTTTTCTATGAGGTGCAGTTGATTAAATTTGAAGACTTATCTGTAGCAAAAATTAATTTCTTTATGTTGTTTATTTTTTCAGATTGTTGATCTTATCACTGCATTTTGCCCATTTTTATGTCAGTTTATTTTTTTGTTGCAAAATCAAATTTTTTTGCCTTAAATTTTAAGATGCCTATTTTTGTTGTCTCTTTATCTATAAATGATAATAATGCAGATCTTTCCTTTTTCCCTAGTCCGTAATGAAAATATCTATAGTACAACAAAAATTCTCTGTAGACACAGCAATATAAGTGAAAATATCAATGGAGATATGTTGTAGAGATCTTACGCTGTCTTTACTGTCTGCCAATCAATGGTATTAATACTAACATGTTTGTCCTAAAAGGAAAATAATGTAATAGAAAACCAAGGCAAGTTTTGCCTGCTCCCGCAGTGTCCATAGTGGGCATTCCATATGCACTTGTTGAAACAGAGAACCTATAATAATTCTTTCCCTAGAAAGGTTCAGAAAGAAGAGTTGATATTCTCCCCTCTAAGGATAACTCTTCCACCTCTCCTAAGTCATTGTGATTTGTGACTGAGGAAGGCTCACAGAAATGGGATTCAAAGATGGAGAAGAAAGAGAATGAATAACACCAGGAGCCAGCCGGCTGTGAACACATGTCTGCTTTTCTCATGTGGCAGTGCTGAAGGGAAGCATGTTCAGAGGGATTCTTCAACACTGAATCTTTCACTTCACACATGTTATTAAATTTTTGTCAAGACAGCATTTCACATAAAGTCTGTCTGGTTAGACCACACATCTAACACAGAACAACTCTTAACAATCTTTAGCATTTGAGCGTCTGTGAGGATTTCTGGAGCTCATGGTATTAGCACTAATTGTTTTGTTGTTGTTTGCTCTTAATTGTGTGAAAGATTAAGTATACAGGCTTCTATTATTCAAGGTGTTTATATACAATTGTTAGGGAAATTGAGATGCAGAAAGATGAAGTATTTGGCAAGATTGCAAGGTGTTCCTCACAAACATATCAAAGAGTAAATGCCACAGTTCCTGAACCTTACCTCTTGTTCTATTAACTAGAGGCTGCTTTCTCAGTAAGGACGAGAAGTCAGCAAGACCTGGTCATATTATTAAAGTATTGAACTCGAAACAAGATGGAAGGTTATGAAGGTGACATTGTCATATTTGTTAATCTTCTTTGGCTACTTTGAATTTCCATACTTGACTCTACAAAAACACTTGCTACCACGTAAAAGATCATTACCTTACACTTACTGCTCATAGTTTTTGTTCTGAAATTTTCTCCTTTACCAGTTTTTAAAGCTTGATTTTCTCCTGATCCTCCTGACCACTAGTTCTGTTGCTTTTTCTCGTTTTCTGCCTCAGCTTCTGTTTGGGTCCAGTTTTCAATATTTCTCTTGCTTTTCCGTGCTCTATCCCACCCACTGTGTGGCATTACATTTAATAAAACTAAGATATTAAATACTAGTTAAATTTGACTCAGAAGATTCTTTTGACCCTGAAAACACAAGCAAGGGAAATGATCCACAGGTATTGTCCCAGATATTCAGAAGAAATCAGATAATTTTAAAATTTCAATTAAATGTCTAAAAGGCTGACAACAAATGTGAGTAGATACCTCAAAAAAGTATCATTAGTTATAGGAAAATACGGAATTAAAGCCACAATGAGAAACCATTTTATACCTATTATAGAATGGCTAAATAAAAAGACAGACAATACCAAGTGTTGATGAGGATGAAAGCAAATAGAACTTTCATACATTGCTAGTGAAAGGATAACACAATACAATCACTTGGAAAACAGTTTGAAAGTTTCATATCAAGTTTAATATATAATTACCACAAGACCCATAATTCTACTCCTAGTTATTTACCCAAAGCAAAAAGAAAACATATGATCACACAAAGATCTGTACAGGAATCTTTGTAATAGCCTAAAACTTTACTCATTATAAGATTAAAAGCTGAAGTGTACTCAACTTTATTCATAATTTAAAACTAGAAGCAGCCCAGATGTTATTAACAGGAGAATGAATAAATACATTGTGGTTTATCCATATAATAAAATATCACTTGGCAAAAAAAGTGAACAGACTTACTAATACAATACGAATGAATCTAAAAAACATTATCCTGAACAAAAGAAACCAGACACAAAAAAGTACATACTGTATAATTCAATTTATATGAAATTGTAGAACAAACTACTCCATGGTGATAGGAAGTAGAGCAATGATGGGAGGGGACCAGTTGCAGGGGAATTGTCTACCAAGGGTACCAGAAAACTTCTGGGGCAAAATGGCAATATTGATATTTTGACTGTGGTGGTGGTTACATGGATGCACATGCTTGCCAAAACTGATTCAAGTTTAGATTTTAAACGGCATATTTTATGGCATGTAAATTATATCTCATAAAGTTATATCATATCTTATATCTCATAAAAAATCAAATAAACCCAATGGCAAAAGGGAAAAGAAAAACCCTTAATTAAGGGTTTGTAGGGATTTGGGGTTGCCGACAAAAGATGTCATATGAAAATGTGCAGTAAATTCGGCTGTTTTGTGACCAAAGTACTTTGTCTTTGAAAAGTGGAATCAATGTGATGCATTATATGTCATTTTGTATTAGAAATTATTCAAGGCACTCTGTGAGCATAATCTCATTTCATGTTCAAAACACTCCTGTGAAGTGAATATTATTAGCCTTATTTTAAAGATGGTACATTTAAAGGTAAACAGATATTTTGAGGGGGACTTATTAAATGTAGAATATAATTAGAACATAGACAGCCCATTATATGATATTATATGTCCATATGTTAACTAGTACATTCTCTTATCTTTCCTATAAGTAGAAAAAAGTTGATGAATCAGGTGGAACAAACCATTTATATTCTTCAGACATATGATTTATATCTGAGTATAAGAGTAACAATATTAAAAATATTTAAAACACTTTTATTATAGTTTGACATTTTTTACAGAGAATTTAGTACATTCATTGTATTTTATAATATTAACCAAAGTGGACAAATATACAATAAATGGAACCTCAGGGTTACAGTAGTAATTCAAAAGTTAATTGAAAACAATTTAAGGATATCATACCATTTAGATAAAAGGTAAAATTCTATAAAATTGTTTCTTTTGTATCAGAACCATGAAAGACTTAAGATTTCTTAGCTCAGAAATGTCATCTTCTCATCATCGATTTCTCTGCATTCTTGACAGTAACTGCTGAACAGATTTTTAAAATAACTTTTCTATTTCTTGAATTCTTGTTACAAAGAATTGTTCATTTAAAAAGAAGTTTAATATAACAAGGATCAAGTTAATAGGTAATACAGGGGCAGTAAATTTGCATAGAACCCCAATATCACAATATTTTGAATGCTATTCCTTACTCTCAGGGCAGCTGATATGGGAAATGTCTTTGATGCAATTTCCCACGTGGAGTGTTTGGAATCTTTGGGTTCAGTGTTCTTCTTCTCTGGGCTATATACGTCATGGTCAGGCCCTTGGGGAATCACTCAAAACTGTACTGTCATCAAATAATTCTTAGTTTTTTGCTTAGCTCCTGCATTACTCTACTATTTACTTATCACCTCAAACAAGGGATAGAAGAATGCTAACCTTTCTACAATTTTTAATATGCATTTCCTTTGCAATTCAGTCTCAATTTCTCTGTCCCTTTATTAGAAAGTGTTGAGCTCACCTTCAGTTTACGCGCCCTTAAAAAGATCTCCCACCTACCCACATACAGATTCTTACTCTCTTATTTTTTACCTTCCTATAATCTGAATAATAAAAGTGTAATTTGGTCCAGTAACTTGACAGCTAAGTGAGAGACATAGTTTGAAATAGGTATGCATAAAAAGCAGTTCTCATTTTAGTTTAAGGTTGATTATTTCTAACTTTTTTTTGCCTATAAGTCTCCATTCATAATGGTAGTAGAACACTAAAGGACATAATGAAAATGAAATATTTTATGAAATATGAGCTAATGATTTGGGCATTCTCTTAAAAAGATGAGCTATGTGTGGCTGTTCCATAGCTACCGAGAAAGAGCCCAGCCCATATATCACTGCCACTTAGCTGTTACGTCCAGAGATCAGTGTGCCAGCTGCTTTACTGGGTGGATGAGATGATAGAGCTGCCCTCTCAATCAGAGGAAACAAGACATAGACGGCATTCTAGAGATGTTTGTTTCCAGTTACTGTTTCTTTGTGGAGGATAAGACTCATTAGATGAGAAACATGAATTTCTTATTTTTATATTGTGAATCCTTGCTTATCAATTTGTACCTCCTGGGTGAATTGAATTTGCTGTGCTGAAAAAACATAAATTGCAAGAGTTTTTTGTTTGTTTGTTTTAGCCAGGTTTATCAGAGCTAAAATAATAATGCATCTCATAGTTAACCAATTCCCGTCTTTCAGATCAGGTTCAGCTTGGAGCAAACTGCAGTAGTGTGCTTGATTAGTCATTCCTGCAGGTAAGCAGGATCCAAACACCAGAATTTCAGGCATCCTGTAGTTTAGAGTTTCCTATTAGGTGCTTTTTTCCCCTGTATTCTGACTAATTAACTAGTTTTGATGTTTGACGATCTCCTTCGTGGTCAATGGGACCTATATTTTGGGAGATAGAGCTAAAAACATGCCACAAAAAACACGTATGTTTCAGCACCTAACAATCCTATAGTGACAAACCCATTAATTTCTCTGCTTGTAGCTTGTGACTTCCAAACGGAGAGTCAAAAAAATAAAATCTTTCTTTTCTTTCTTTCTTTTTCTTTTTCTTTTTTCTCTTTCTTTTTTTGAGTTGCTCTTGTTCCCCAGTCTGGAGTGTAATGGTGTGATCTCAGCTCACTGAAACCTCCACCTCCCGAGTTCAAGCAATTCTCCTGCCTCAGCCTCCTGAGTAGCTGAGATTACAGGCGCATGCCACCACACCTGGCTAATTTTTGTATTTTTAGTAGAGACAGGGTTTCGTCATGTTAGCCAGGCCATGGCTGACCTCAAGTAATCTGCCCGCCTCAGCCTCCCAAAGTGCTGGGATCATAGGCGTGAGCCACCATGCTCGGCCAAAAAATAAAATCTTTAATAAAACTACCAAAAAGTTTGTGACCATACTATTTGGGACAAAATATGTAATGATGGCTACATTAATGTGTATTCAGGTGAACAATGACTGGAACGTTAAAGCAAAAATGAAAAACGTTTCATTAAGATGGTGAGATGGTAATGATTAAAGAATTTTAAATTTTATTGCTATATCTTTTTTCACCATAGAGATAGTAACCTGTAAAGCCAGATTTGCAGTGACAGCCCTTTTATTTTCAGAAGTTACAATTTGATTTGATACTTGTTAACCACAATAAACAGACAAGCATTTGGTTTTATAACTGTTAATTGTTTGGCCATAGAACACTAAAGTCATAGTAACTGGCATTTGTGTCACTGTAGCTTGTATTTGTGTTGCTTTTTCAATGTTTTAGTAAAATTACTAGCACTTTTCTGTTTACTTCAATAGCTAAATATTTTCAAGGGACTCCAGTCTTCCTCATGTGACAGACTAGTTTCTATATCTGTATATCTTTATGTTTTTTGATAGCTATAATTGCATTTTTCTATTTTAAAAAGTCAATGGTTTAAAAAAGGGAACTATACAAGATAGGTAAGAAACATATTATGTATTTCTCCCTAATAGAAAGAATGTACAGTTTTTACTTTGCTTTGCATGTTCTCTGTCCTAAGATCAAGTTCTAATTTCAGTTTCTCAAATTGTTAGTCTATGACAAAATAAATTGTAGGTGACAGATTCATGTATCACTTACACTCCTAATTCACCGACGAAGACCTAATATAATTGCAGACATTTAAGAGCTGTTTTGAGAAGGTAGGGAGGAGGGACACTATTCATTAATGTTTCCATGTTATCATCTCAATCAGGAAGGAGAACTTATGATCCAAAAGGGATCTTGAAAACAAGGCCCAGCCTCTTCCATGGCTTTAGGAGGGTCCAGTCTTACTAAAGTCAAAAGCTGAGTTTGCTGCTGTAACCTGTGAAGGCAGTAGGAGCAAAGGGCCTAGATCTAATTGGTATTTATTGCTGTCATTGTTTTGGATTCCAGACCTTTGATAAACCTTTCCCAGTGAAGCAAACCCATGGTTAACTCTGCAGCAGTGAGGAAGCTATGGAAGCAGGACTGCAATTAACCTTTACTGGGAAAACAAAACATAAAAAAACTAAAAGGAAGGCTTGGTTTTTGCAGATGCAATTTTAAATGACAGGTGGCAGGTGAAAACATTACCCTTAAAATGAGAACGTATTTTGTATTCGTACACAATAACCAGGGAAAAGACATTATCAAAAAAGGGGTAATTATTTATATTGAAGTGAAGAAAAAAGGTAGAATGTAAAGGACAAAATAGTTATAATTAAAAAGTAGATTGCTCTAATACTGACATTCAAATATATGTTGTCAGGTGGATTTTATTTGGGTGACGATATTCAAAGAGTACCAAAAACCTAACCCTTTCCTCAAAGCTTTTTCTGTGTTGTTATCTTTTAGAGGTACTGTTAAATAATGGGAAATACTCTGTCTTAAGAAGCAGCAAGTTGTATGTAATTGTCAGTTGGCAAGACACTTGCTCTAAGCCTCAATTTCAGTATCTGAAAAATTCAGAGACATCTTAACAGTCTGCCAGCTGAGAGGTGTGTCGCATTATATAGTGACACCATGTGGGGCTGTAAGCTCTACAACTTGAATGCTTTTTAGCAGAGTGTCTTTGGTAAAATCCCTTAAGAGACCCTGCTTAACATGTTAGTCACAACGGATGGCTGAAGAAAGTTCACTAGAGGATGATTAAGGGAAATAAAGGACAAGAGAGAAGAAGCAAGCTCTTAACCTAGAAAAAACAGTATTTGGAGGTGGGGTTCATGTGACTTGGACAAGGTGGTTGTATTAGGGAGAGAGTCCAGGTTAAAGTAAAGAATGGAGGAAGAAAAAAATCAGAAAAGGAGCAAAGGTAAGAAGAGGGTTGCACATGAATTTGTTAGGGAGGTTGATTTAAGAGGTGGGATGAGGTATCAGAATTGATGAGTCAGCTCTGTTGGTAGGAGTGGGATTGGCCAAGCCTCCCTCCCATCTCTTACTTGAGCAGTTACCAGTGTCCATAAGTTATTGTGCATAGTGCTTGTGGCCTGACTAGTTCCGATAAATATAGAGGTTTATAAATTTGGAAAGCAGATCTATCTTCCCATCTTTGTTCCAAAGCATTTTCCTTTCTCAGAAGTTATGCTTTGAATTTAGTGGCTGCTATGAAGGTTGAACTCTCAAGGGAACCAAGGCAATGTTGTATGTGGGACACGGTTGAAACCTGCGCCAAGGCCCAGAAATTCTGATACTGTGAATGTCTCAGTGCCTGCCTAGAACCTCTGGGACTTGCTGGTATTGAAGACTCTCAGCTGGAATATATTCTGCACATAACCATTTTTCATTGTGTCTGTTTCCATCAAATTACTTGTCAGGTTGGGAATATTCTGTTATTAGCCTATCCCCTGGTGTTGTAGTATTTATTCTACTTTTCTAAACCTGAAGCTATTAATGAAACAGTATATGGAGTGAAGCTTTGCTTCTATCTTCTCCCTTAAGTCAAGCCATGTTTTTTAAGCTTCAGAAGTTCTTGGAAACTTTATCTTGGGACATTCATTACTTGAAATTGATTTTCTATACAAGGGAAGTCCTCCTGGATCTGACCTCTATCTGTTTTTTGTCTCATTTTTACATATATACCAGCTGTTGCCAGGTGGTGAAGAAGACAGACAATGAGCTTTTGCTGGAGATAATTCAAAGCATCACTTTTCCCAACTTTTATTTCTGAACTATGTTGATATTCTCGGTGGCCACTAAGGGGAGCCACATACCCATATTCTCTCAGGCTTAACAGAATCCTTTTATGAGAAAGGTGAGATCATATTCAGCTTGTGGCCAATTCAAAAAGTAAATTGCCAAATGCCCTTGGAAATAAAGCAGCAATTTAAATTGACAAATTCATGGGTTTAAAATTTAAGCAATACTTTTATTCAACTTTTCTTGCTTCTTTCTTCAGAGGATGTGGAAACTCATGCAATAAGACTGCATCTGTCTTTAGGGAGAAATGCATACTTTCAAAGCACTGTTCTAATTTCTTTCTTTTTTGCATGTATCTCTGAGGATAGTAGCTGTGAGACAGTTAACACTCCAAACATATTTGTCTTAAGTCATAAGTACATATTGCAGACATTAGAGCACCCATATTCTCTGTGAAGATTAGACAAATAGCATTAAAAGGCATATTTTAAATTTCATTGTCTTTGTTTTGCACCTCTTGGCTGTCTCCAAATTGAATTTATTTTTAGCTCCATCATCTAAAAACAATCTTAAGTCATAGAGTCAAGAGAGTATCAATACTGTGGGAAACAAAAAGATGAGTAGTGGAGAGAAATATCCCAGTCACTGCTACTCACATCAGTTTATAACACTGGTTATTCTGTGTACTGTTTCAACACAGTGATAAAAAAACTGAGAGAGAGTGATGAGATAAAATAAAGAATGGCATACCACCTCAGGAACTGAGACTTATTTTAAGAGTCTTCTTTTGAAGAATGGGGTCAAATCTATATTTAGAAATATTAGATGTGGGATTTAAGGAGGTTGTAAACCCAGTGACTTGAGACTTTGATTAGTGTGATGTAAACAGAAGGTGAGGGCCTCTGAGACCCTTTTGCATGATTTGCCTCAAGGAGAAACCCTCGTTTGATGAGACTGTGGTAGTGGTCTCTTCATTTTCCCACAATGCACTTTACTGAATTTCTTGATCTTGTTCCTGTTTCCATTTAATTGTGTTATGATCAAGTATCTCTTCAGGGAATAATAATTAAAAATGCTAGAATTTTAATCAGATTAATGCTGTACTAGATTTATGTAAACTGTGTACATTATATTTGAAGGAATAGAATCTTTTTAAAGGAAAAGAAAACCCAAATTGAACAGTATTGTAATTTTATGATCTAAAAGTGTATCTCAGTCAAACCCTTTTCTTTTTCTTGGTAATAAAAAAGTCATATCCATAATGTTTGCAACAAGATTTAATTTTGTAAGTCAATTTTAATTAAATAAGTGATTGGCAAATTGTTTATCATAATTGTCAATATATTATTTTTTCCTGCAAATCCCCTGAGTTCTAGGGAAAAAAAGCATATTATTTTTGTGAAGAAAGAAACAGGGGTGGCGAATCATTTTGGGGAAGTAGTTTGGGAGAAAACTGGCATTTGTTGAAAGTTTGCTGCGTCCCAAGCACTTTATATGCATGCATTTACTTATTCTTCCCAATAACACAATGAAGATCACACGTTTTACAGATTGGGAAACTCAAGTGCAGATGTTCAATAACATACACAAGCTTGTGCAGTGTTGGAGATGTAGTTAAAATAGGTCTCTGTTCCACCAACATCTATTATTTTAAGAAAAAATTATTTTTAATTTGTGCCTTTTAATTTAAAGTTTTATAGTTAATTTATATATTTTTGTATTAATTTAGAGTGATGTGTTAAACAGTCTAAAACAAATCCAAATTTTCTATGTGTGTCAACTTACATAGGGAAACTTGCCCTGCTATTCTTCAAAGGCTGTGCAGATTAATTGTTTAACTATCTTCCTTTTCCCAGAGTTCAGCCTTTTAGGTTTATTAAAATTCTCACCATGAAGAAATAAGTGCAGGTGTCTTTTCCAGGTGTCTGGTACTACCTTACTGAGCTTCATGTGTATAATTAAATTTCATTCTAATAACCTTCTTCTTCCAGTTTCCGTGTTGGGTACTATTATGATTTAGTGGTGATGGAAATCATACATGAATATCAGAGAAAGAATTAGAGAAAAATGTAATTTTTATTTCTTAAAGAGCTCAAATATTCCATTGAAGCAGGTATTTACCGGACAATAGGGAGAAGAAGGTCATGGTGGAGAAGGTAGATAAGACAATAAAATCTGTTTTCATTTCGGGTATGGGAGAACTATTCATGGAGGCCAGAATACTATAGCAAATGAAATATTTTTCTTTTATTCCCTTAATGTGTTTCTTGGGTCAGCATCTTACTGTTGTTTAACAAAAAGCTGTATTTTAACAAATGATAGCTTAGCAATAAGTAGAAAGTAACAGATATTTTATTAAGGAATACACATTATTATAGTTAAGAGAAATAATTTTAAATGACAACAAATTTTGTTTCCAATTTGGCTGGATCAGTGTCACAGTCTGCTCAATGAAATAGCCAATATGCCAACCATGTATAAAGATAAATTTTAAATTAGACACAAGAAGAGATTCAAAAGGACCTAGATAAATTTTTCCCATGAGCATATTATTTTTCATGTCCTCCTTTCACTGTTCTAGGAACAAAATTGTCTTGAATAATTTAATCTGGCTTCCAAAGGTCAATTATTTGCAGCCAACAGTCTAGCCTCTGAGACAGTCTACATTATGTTGTTTTTTAATCAGAGAAGAACTAGAAAACATATTTTCATAATGTTTGTAAATTTACTTCTACTTTACTGAAGAGTCAAGACAGTCCTCATTTCTCCCTAACGTTTTATTTAAAAGAAAACTCCAAATTTCCTTTGTCTCTCTTGGCACACATTTACTTAAAAAAAAAGCTATTTGAAAATAAGTTGCAGACATCATGACACTTGACTTCTGGATCCTTCATCATGTACTTTCTAAGAACAAAGGGCTTTTTCATACCTAACCACAAAATCATTATCACACTTAAGGAAATGTACAGTCATTCAGCAATTTATTTACTATCCAGTTCATTTTAAAATTTCTCCAATTTTTCCCTGATAAGAGTTCCATGATGGTCTTGGGGGTTCTTTTCAATAGCTTTACAGAGCACTTCTCAGCAAGTCTAAGTTAGCTCCATGGAATAAGAGGCTAATACCAGCCACTGGACTCTGGAGGTTTCGTATTTCTACTGAGACCATTTCTCAACCTATGAGCTTCCAGTGTTGCATGGTTGCATAGATTATCCCTGCCTGGGCTACATCCTATAAATATATAGAACCTTATCAATGAGAAAGGGACTCTCTCTACTGGAACATTAGCCAGGCACTCAGAGGTCATGTATGTCCAGTCTAAATTGTGAGATTATAAGAGTTATGGGGAATGCATGCACTCTGCTTCAAGTCTTTCACTCAATAAACCTTATTTTATATCTTAGTACTATGTGTCTGCGCTGTCTTTGAATTGCATCCTCCTGAAACTTAAACAATTTCTTTTTTACTTTGTGCACAATCCAATCAGGGCTCACATATTACATTTGTTTTTCATTGCTCTTTAGTCTTATCTAGAACAGTCATTCATTTAAAAAATTTTTTTTTTCCATGGCAGAGCATTTTGAAGTCTATGACAATTTTCTCTTAGAATTTCACATATTCTAGATTTTTCTGATTACTTCCTCATGACATTATTTAACTTATTCTTCCATCTCCTATATTTCCTGTAAATTGAATGTTTGTTGAAAAACCTGATAAGATTAAATTTAAACATTTGTGACAAAAAGATTTTACAGATGATGTATACTTTGTATTACATTATATCAGGGAGCATATAATATAAAGTTATCCAACTATTAGTGATTGGCTGAGTGCTAATCGTCAGAATTGCTACTGAAAAAGGCAAAACATTTTTGCTATTGTTAATTAATATTCAATGTTAGATGATATTTTGGCACTATATGACTATCATGCTACACAACTACATTCGACCTAATGGTTTTAACTCCTTGCAGTAATCCTTGTCTGAATCCTTTATTACATTTGGGGGTTATAAAATGATGATTCTCTAATTCTATCATTTCTTCTACATTTATTAGCTGGAATTCTTTTATAAATAAGAATGTAATTCTCTGCTTCCCACTTTTTAAAAATCAGTATGGACTCATGGATTTTTAAAATCTATTATATCATAATAAATTATTATATTTATTCTTATAGATGGTCAAATTTCCCTAAATGGTCAACTCAATTGGAGCCCATTCAAGCTGTTCCTTTGATCTTTGACATGATCCATGTGATAGGCAGCCTCTAGAATGGTTTTGGATAATCCCTGCTTCTTGGTATTCATGACCTTACATAATTCCTCTCCTTGAGGGTGGGCTGGACCTAGTGATTCACTTCTACCAAAAGAAGACAGGGCAAAAGTGAATAGTATGTAATGTCTGATGTTAGGTCATAAAAAGCCTGTGGCTTCTGTCTTGCTTACCTTCTCTTACTCTCTTGCTTGCTCTCCATAATGAAAGTGAGGTGCCATATTGTAAGCTTCCCTATGAGGAAGTCCATGTGGCTGGAAGATAAAAGAGGCCTTTGATCAATAGCTGATTAGTAACTTAAATTTTCAGTCCAACAGCCATGAGGAAGCAAATATTGTCCACAGCCGGGAGTGAGCTTATAAGC
The DNA here is from genome assembly GCF_000001405.40 of Homo sapiens. Classification (NCBI taxonomy): domain Eukaryota; kingdom Metazoa; phylum Chordata; class Mammalia; order Primates; family Hominidae; genus Homo; species Homo sapiens. Next base: position 111,850,115 of record NC_000004.12, on the reverse strand, counting down.
AGATCCTCTTTCAGTTGAGCCTGCAGAGAGCTGCAGCCTGCCTGACAACTTCATTGCAGTCTTGTTACAGACTGAGTCAGAGGATCCAGCCAGTTAAGCCACTCTCCTATTTCTGATCCACAGAACTGTGAGATAATAAATGTTTATTGTTTTAAGCCCCTAAGTTTGGGAGTAATTTCTTATGTAGCAATAAATCATTAATACAACCTAAATAGTCTTTGAGCACTTCTATTTTTTTCTAGTGCAACAAGATTTCTCAAATTCAGTTTGTATTTTCCCAGACTCAAACATGAAATAAATATTTTTTTAAGTTCCTGTGGTTTCTTTCAGTGAAGAATGGTGGTTAGAATACAAGACCTGGGCACAAGATGTGCTCATTGCTACAGAGATATCATCATTTCTATATTCATTAGAAATTAGAGCTAGAAAACCATACAACAAAATGGTGAGCTCACACTGAAATTTCCAACTTATATTTAATATTTCATGGTTCTTCCTGAGTTTATTTTATTGGTATATCTTTTATCTCTTATAGAAAAAATGTTGGTTCCTTAACAGCAGAGGGTTAACATTACAAAGAAGTGGAGTAGCAGGTATCATAATGTGGGCAATGATGGTATGTTCTCTGGCTTTCTGGAACATCCATCTTCATTTCTACCACTTAAGATTTATTTGTTTGATCCTGAAGGGCTTTTTGAATGTTAGAATTTTCTTATCCAAAAAAATTTTTTTGTATTATTTTCCAACCTAAAAAATGATCCAGAAACAATAAAATAAAAACATTGGAAATAAATATAGAAAAATATAAAAGAAAATAACTCTGAGTGGTGAACTTGTGGATATGTTTTGTTTATTTTAATAAGAAATAAATATTGAGTCCCTAATATATGCCATTTACTAAGAAGGCACTGAAGGCTCAAAGTTTCTGGCTGGAAGAATTTATATTTTGGAGAGAGAGTTATATAAACATGCCAATATATTTGGTAGGTGATATCATAAAGAGATACACAGCACTTTCTGAGGTTAAATGCTGCCTAAAAATAGATATTATTTTAGTAATACAAACATAATAATTCATTAAGGGAACAAAAAATAAATCTAGGCGGTGAGAGGGGCAAGAGGAAATACAAATGGTAGGAAAATGTTCTTCCTTGAATTGGGGAAGATGTCAAAGGCAAGCTAGTTTATTTCACAATTTTTATCCAATTCTTATTAATTTTAACATGAAAATTTCTCCAATAAAGCGTTGCCTTTTAACCTGTCTGCTTCAAATTAAACTAGATTTCCGTTCTGCATTTTGGTGAATGATAGCATACATGTTTCTGGTCAACTGTAATGTTGTTAAGGAATGTGAAGGAAAATATTGAACAATCTATTCATTTTGTGATTTCCTTAGATGGTTAAGTTCTTCATTTGTTTATATCTCCTTCTAAAAAATTATTGTTATTTAAAAATTTTTTTACATGTGTGCTTTAGCTAAGCTTACAGATGAAGCCTTTTACAAATTTGTACAACCGTAATTTATGATCAAGCTCCCGAGGAGCAGGAGTCAGGGCCTTAGAGCATTAGTCTGTTCAGTATAGTTTATAGAACCCTTTGGGGAAAAGAAAAGGAGAGGGCAGGGACACGAAGGAAAGGCGAATCAAGTGGCATTTACATTTTTCGTTGTTTTGTTATTGGCACTTTTGTTTAAGCTTATTCATATCAGTTTTCTTTTTTAAAATTTATTTTTCATCATTCATACTGGTTTAATTTATGATAATCCTGATGGAGGCAAAAAAGCATGCTATAGAATTGCTTTGATAGAACATAAATAAAAAGTTGACATTTTAAGTCTGTTTGGTAGTCAATATGCACAATTGCAAAACTTTCATTAGTGTCATAGAAATTAATTCTAGGGAAGTGCAGTATATTTACAGCTGGTAGCTCCCCATACTTTGTGGAGTTCTTGCTAGGCAATGGCACATCAGGCTTTGCAGAAGTCAGCCACGTACGACTGGATGAGAGAAAGTTACTGAGGATGGATTCTCATGGGCCATTTACTTCATAAAGGACTTTAATAAAAAAAGTTTAAGAAAAAATTTACTAAGCTCTTTCCCTCCGTTTTAGTTCCATTTCTAGCTCAATCACTGGAGCAATGTCACAGCTTTTAGAGAACATATTCCTGATTTGCAAAGCTGAAATGCGAACCAACAATTTCCATCTACTGGTCACTCTAGGCACTACAGACGCAAAGAATAATAAGACAAAACCCCTGCTTTCAAGCAATTCTCAACCTGAGCCCATCTGGGTCATTACCACAGACACAGACATCTGCTGTAGGAATGTTTTATAGGGCAGTGTCAACCAGTGAGGGCCATGGGATATCACCGGAAAATATCCATTTAGGAGACTACCTTATGGGCTATTTGGCCTCTTTTGTTCTTTGTAACACTTGAAACAAAATGAATTTATGTACTTACTGTCTTGTCATTGTGTGATAGATAACAGTGAAGCAAAGGCCACGAGGAACTAGCCTAGTTCCAAAGCCTTGTAAACAACAATCAATTTCATGTAGGTGTCCACACAAAGTGGTTGTGAGTCATGGTTAAGTGATTGTGACATGTCTGAAAGGCAAACTTATGTCACAGGAAAGAAGAGCTCTCTGGATAGATGGTTCCCTACAGTTTTGTAAAGACATCTGGAAACTTTGATCTGGGAGACACCACATCACAGAGAAATTGTTATCGTCTGAGAGCACACTGGTGATAAAAACCTTTAAACACATATCTTAACTAAATCTTATATGTGCTCAAATTGCCACCTGTTTTGTTATAATTGGAGTTAATAGCCTGCCAGACACAAGGATAAGTGGATGTTCTAGCAGGAAAATGCATGCTTCCTCTCTGATATTTGATTTTGTTTCCAATATTCACTGAAAGTATTGTATTAATAAATTTCACTGAGGATTTTTATGTAATTCCATTGTCCTTGCATAGGATTATAGTAATAATGGAGGTCAAAAAGAAGGCATTTAAGAAAGTTGTAAGGAAATGTACTCATTTACTTGACATAGGATACAGCATTCCCCATGGTCTGGCTCCTAAGTCTCCAGGCCAAATTTTTGTTGTGTCCCAATGTACATTTTTTTTTATTCATCCAAACCAACCAGGTGGTGCCAGTTCTCTAAAGGTCTCATTCCTCCTGATTGCTATACGTGCTGTAACCTCACTGCATGTCTCTTGTGTGCTTCTTAGTAAAGCCTGCAACAGCTAACATAACATTTCCAGAAAGAAAATTATATTACTATTGGCCAAGTTCATCTCATGAGAGGCCAACATTTCTCTTTTTTTCTCTGGTTCTGTTTCTTTTCTCTTCTCTTCTTTGCCTGCACTTCTCTGGACTTTTTGGACTTACCTTGCCTGTGATCATTGGGTTCTCTGAGAAGCAAATATAGAGACTGAGTAGGAGTGCAAGAGTGAAGAACGCAGAAATGGGTGGGGAAATCATCAGATTGCGATGCCATCTGATGGAGCCCAACAGGGAGGTCAGGAGCCATGACTGCTCTCCAGAGGAGTACACATTGGGTGGAAATAGCCGGCCCTGTGAATCACTGTTCAGTCATTGGCTAGCTCCTGCTCCCGGAAAAGAGTGACTTCTGGAAGTTGTCAGTCTCACAATTCACTCCTTGCAGCTGTGCAGCTTGTCTTTTCTTGAAGAATCTCTCTCTGCTACATCCCGCCCCCAGGATCTAAATTCCATGCCTGAGACACAGCAGAATCCTCAACACTTCCCATTTCTAGTTCTATCAGGGTGGTATTTCCCCCCTCTATGTATCAGGAAGGGGCCTTAGATTTTCAGAGTTCTCAGAGTTGAGATAATAAAAATAAATAATCCCTACTCCAGCTGATTTTAACAACCCCTCATAACATGACTTTGTTTCCCTATTTTAAAAGCTCTATCTCTTTACTGTGCCTCCTCTGTCTCTAACCTACTTTGAGAAGAAAAGAAAGAGTGAGGGGGGAGAAGAGAAGAACGAGTCAGATCAGATGTTAACTTCTCCTCGGAAATTTTTCCAGTCATGCACCCTCCTTCCTCTGGGGTGAATTCATGTAAAAAAAAAACTTCTATTAAGTTCAGGGGTACATGTGCAGGTTTGTTACATAGGTAAACTTGTGTCATGGTGGTTTGTTGTACAGATTATTTCATCACCCAGGTATGCAACCTAGTACCCATTAGTTATTTTTCCTGATCCTCTTCTTGCTCCCACCCTCCACCCTCTGATAGACCCCAGTGAGTGTTGTCCCCTTCTATGTGTCCATGTGTTCTCATCATTTAGGTCCCACTTATAAGTAGAACATGTGGAATTTTGGTTTTTGTTTTTGTATTAGTTTGCTGAGAATAATAGCCTCCAGCCCTGCAAAGGACATGATCTCATTCTTTTTTATGGCTGCATAGTATTCCATGGTGTATACATACCACATCAGTTTATCACTGATGGGCATTTAGGTTGATTCCATGTCTTCGCTGTTGAATTAAACTGTTTTTTGACTGTGCTTCCACCTGAGTGTCTCAGTTATAGCATTTAGCAGTTTCTATTCTAGTAGTCGACTTCCTTGTCTGTGTCTTTGCTAGACTGTGTGCTTCTCAGGTGCAGGAAAATTCATTGCCCTTCTGCCTGTCTCTAACAGTCTTGCAATAGATACTTCAGATCTGAACTCTGTGCTGTGACAGCAGTGCCAGGCTCATTGTGATATAAAGCTATATTTTAAGTGTTTTCAAGAGATATTTCCAAACTATTAAAAAATATAGTCAGTGCTCAAAGAGTACTTTTAAAAACTTTTAATAATACATGTGCATTACAAAATTTAGAAAATATTGAGCCATTTTTAGGAGAAAGTACAACTTTTGTAATTGTACTACCTAAATATAATTAAGGTAGTTAATTACATTGTTTTATTTTCTTTGTGTTTTTTAATGTGGTTTAGAATTTGTCTGAGTTGAAATATATGAATACATATACTTTTCCACCTAATGTTACATTAAAACATTTGCGTGTTAATCACATGCAAATTCTTCAAAAATTATTTGTTTAATTATTTTTCTATTATTCAAAGTTAGGTTGTATCCAATATTTGTTTTTATTTACAACCTATTATGAAATTCTTTCAATATACATCTTTATTCTTATTTCTGCCTATTTCCTTTGGGTTAAATAGCAATATATTTGTTAATTTTTGTTCATGTTGTCTGATTATTTTCCAGAAAGTTTATACCAGTTTATCTTTCCCACCAGGTGTGTGTGAGAGACTTTTCTCAATACACTCATGGCAGCACTAAATATTATCTTTTAAAAAAGGACAACTTAGAAAACATCGTATTGTCTGTTTTAACTGGTATCTCTATTTATTAATAACTTGAATATTTTATTTCATATCTTATTAACAATTTATATGCCATCTTCTGTGAATTTTGTATTCATGTCTATTTTCAGTCTAAGTTTTAGTGTCTCCTTTATGAGTTTGAGTAAGTTTTTAATATAGAAAATATTATTAAATATCAGTCAGCATGGATATAAATAATATTCTCAGTTTGAATTGTCTTACAATTTTCTGCAGAGGCTTTGCTCTTCAGAGATCTTCAAATTTTACATAGGTAAGTTTAGAATTTCCTAATGAGGAATTTCATTTTTTTCCCAGTTTAGAAAGCTCTTATCCATTCTGATAATTCTGAGATCAGTTAAACAGTTGCCAATTTACATTTGTTTTCTGCTTTTATTTTTTTATTAAATTTATTTTCATGGATGGCATTATAAAATTGCAACCCAACTTAATCTGTTCCTCAAAAGTATAATTTCCTCAGAACATTTGGATAATTCATCTGCATGCATTAGTTTGTAATGATTCATTCATGTATATATGTATATATATTTTATTTATATATTATTATTTATATAAATTACATATAATTAATATATAATATAGTTTAATTATAATTTAATATATTATATATTAATTATATATAATTCATATATAATATGTATTTATTTATATATTTTATTAATGTATATATATTTATATTATATATGCATATATGTATATATAACATAAATATATTTTATACAAATATATTTATATTATATATATACATATATACAAATATATACACATTTATATATAAAATGGTTTCATTTAGTTTTTTGGCCTTAAGATGGTCTCTATTGTTCTGTTGATTTGTTTGTCCATTCTTGAAACAATATTTACAAATGTTTTATGATTGTTTGAAAAGAAGACATATTTCCTGTTAGTGGAAGACATAGATATATATGCATCTATACATTCAATATTTGTTTCAGGTCAATCCAAACACCTTCAGAAGTCAAGACATTGACATGAAAGTGCTCAACAGCCAGATGTCATTCAATAAAGAGGGGTGTAAATGAAGTAACAGGAAGAGCACATATTTGGCCTGAAGACACAAATCCAAAAAATTTTTTAAAAATGACTATACGAGCCGGGCACGGTGGCTCACGCCTATAATCCTAGCACTTTGGGAGGCCGAGGTGGGTGGATCACGAGGTCAGGAATTCAAGACCATCCTGACCAGCATGGTGAAACCCTGTCTCTACTAAAAATACAAAAATTAGCTGGGCGTGGTGGCGTGTGCCTGTAATTCCAGCTACTCAGGGGGCTGAGGTAGGAGAATCCCTTGAACCTGGGAGGTAGAGGTTGCAGTGAGTGGAGATCAAGCCACTGCACTCCAGCCTGGGCAACAGAACAAGACTCCTTCACAAACAAACAAACAAACAAACAAACAAACAAACAAACAGATTATATGGATATACCTCCTCAAACTTAGCTGTGTTGACTGAGTGAATTTGGCCTATTACTTCTTCGTTTGCATCCTCCAATATGCCTACTTATATTGGAGGGGGGGGTTTATTTAAAAAAATAAAACAATTGTAACTCTTTTAGTTTTCTGAGGGAGGGCAAGAATGATGTTATTCATTTTATTGGGAAAAGAGATTGGTGTAGGTGGGAGAGAAGAAAGGCTGAACTTTCAAAGTTTCTATCAGTTCTTCTGTGTTCAACTCAAAGTGTTGAGCCATTTGCTTATCAAAACATATAATCCAAGCTTTGGACTTGTAGAGAGCTAATACTGCGCAAATACATAGTGAGGTTTGAGAGTGGCAATTTGAGTGGAGGGAGAGATTAGAGACCTTGTCTTTGTTGAAAAGTAAAACGATGAAAAGTAAAGTTTGCAATAATATGTATTTAAGTTTAAATAATATTTTAAAAATAAGTAGCCTGCAATTAGAGGGAAACAATTTTTGAGTTTAAAAAAAACCTACAGGACTGTAAGTACAAGGAAAGTGAATGAAAAAAGATAAACCAGTTAGTACCAACTTGTGTTTATTGTAGAAAACAAATATTTGGTTCTTTGCATTACTGCAACAGTATATAACATCTTTTGCACAGACTTGGAAGTAAATCAGCTAACATTGGATTTATCATCAAGGAATGATTGCATAAGTGACACATGAGAAATAGCCTAAGATGCCAAACCACTTACCATATGCTACGGTTTGAATGATGGTGTCCTCCCCCAAATTCATGTTGAAACTTAATTCCCATGGTAGTATTAAGAGGTGGAACCTGTGGGTTGGTGATTAAGTCATGAGGTCTCTGCCCTCGTGAATGTGATTAGGTGTTCTTATAAAAGGGGGCGAGTTTGGCCCTTTTTACCCTTTTGCTGTTGGCCATGTGAGGACCAACAAGGAGTACTTCCCCAGATTCCAAATGTCAGTGCCTTGATCTTGAACTTACATCCTCCAAAACTCTGAGAAGCACACTTCTATCTTTTTATAAATTACCCAGTCTTAGGTATTTTGTTATAGCAGCACACATGAACTAAGACACTACAATGACCATTATACAAAGACATGCCAATGAAAGGATCTGGAAGTACCGGCTTGATCTGCCATGCCAGAGAGCTGAGGCCCAGGCTAGGGTGAAGCACTAACAGGTACCCTTGGCAAGAGTTTACCTCTTGCAGTGCCTTTCACAGGAGATGTCACCATCAACAGACTGTCAGGATTAGCTAGAAGAGCAGCATAAGCCAGTATCAACCCATAGGGAGCCATGTCATATTAGACTTCCCTGAGGGAGCACTGACAGGGAACTGGGAGGAGAGAAGAAAAGAAACAAAGGAAGCAAGTTTTGTTTGAGTTTCTGTTTTGCGTAAATCCAAATAAGCTGTGTTTTTAAAGAAGTGGATCTCAACTGTGTGGAATATAAACATGAAATTTTTTACGTTTCTCTAATCACTGCTTTCGATATTTATCAAATCCTCTATTTCTTTCTTTTAAGGACCTTGTAGACAGATTTAGGACCTTTGAACACTCTTAGATTTAAAAACTCAACGCAATCAAGTTTAAAGTTCCCCTTTCATTCTTGCTCTAAAGCGTTCCCATGTCACGTCATGACTTAATGCCATATTTCAAGGGTTTTTGAGTGGGGAGATTAACTTGGCCTGTTCTTGTGCTCCCTCACTTTTACCCCTCATCCAGACTCTAACTTCTGTGTTTGGGGACAACAGTAAGAAAGAAAGTGCCAGAGTGCCAATCTGCTTTACCCAGGGGTATTTGTGCTTCTTCCTTTGTTGGCTCATGCAGGTTTATGTTGCTCTTCTGCTAATAATCTTGACAGGCTTCTCCTGATGGCATCTTTGTGTGCAGGCATTGAAAGAGTTGTTCTTATGGTAGGTGTATGTGAGTTTTTTGCCTTGTCCTGTGAGAATTTCCTATGGCTCAGTTTTGTTGCAAGGAGCATCTTCTTTGGCACAAGTACTTGTAATTCCTTCTACTCAGCTCCTATCCACAGAGGTGGATCCCACAGCTTCCCCCTGCTGGAGCCCCTTTGCCTGGAGGATGAGGAACTGGCAAAAAGGACTCAAGACTAGCTCCTTTTCTGGTGTCCTTGGACCTATAAGAAACTCACACACCGTTACCATTGCAAATGTTAACTTGGCTGCTGCACTGTCTTCCTCTTTCTTAGTGTGCCATCATCTCTCTTTAATTCATAGGGAATGGTCAGCAAGTCCTAGCAGATAGATAGTATAGTCTTTCTCCAAATGCAAGGCAGTCGCTCATCTTGAAGGCAGTAAGAAATTATATTCAGTAATTGTCAAATCCCATTCAGTAATCGTGAAATCCCTTCCTGCCACCTTGGCTTAAGGGCTGGGTAGTACCTTTTTCCATGAACACTATAGTCCACACAAGCCCAGTGACTATAGCAACTCTTCCCTCTCTCCCTCCAGTCTTCTCCTTATATAGCTGGTTGGGATGGGCAGGGATGGGCACAGGCTGGGGGTTGCTTTTCACTAGATCATGTGAGAGATATTGATCCCTAGTGCCTCACTTTAGAATGTGGTATAATAGGCTGGGCGTGGTGGCTCACACCTATAATCCCAGCATTTTGGGAGGCTAAGGTGGGCGGATCACCTGAGGTCAGGAGTTCGAGACCAGCTTGGCCAACATGGTGAAACCCCGTCTCTACTAAAAATACAAAAGTTAGCTGGGTGTGGTGGCAGGTGCCTGTAATCCCACCTGTTTGGGAGGCTGAGGCAGTAGAATTGCTTGAAACTGAGACGCGGAGGTTACAGTGAGCTGAGATCATGCCATTGCACTCCAGCTCTTGTTGTTGGGCAACAAGAGCGAAACTCCGTCTCCAAAAAAAAAAAAAAAAAAGGAAGAATGTGGTATAATAGTGTTTCTTTGTTCTCAGGATTGAACTCTGGTCAGTTCAGTGTAATTAACGATTTTAAGTTACTAAATTATACAGTTTCATATCCGTGTTGCCTCAACTGTTTTAATCAATGTTGTTACATGGACTAGAATAGGCAGAGTGTCATGTTCCTGTGGTCTCTGTGGATCCGAGTGATGGAGTCATCTTTTGCTTAGAGTCTTCTCCCTCTTCTTATCACTGCCTTGGAGGGTTTAGCTGGCTCGTGTGGCAGGAACATGAGTTAACAGACTTGAATCTTCATTTGCACATTAAACACAGTTTTCTTAGGATTTAGGCAGTGTTGTGCTGGTAAGCAGGCTCCTCAAACAAACAGCTCACTAAAAACCGCAAAAAAAACCTCAATCCCAAACCTAGCCAAAACAAAAAATCACTGATATTCGGAGTGTTTGCCAGCTTCTATGTTGTAAATACTTTCAATATGAGGATTTCAACCTACTGATGTGAAGTTACTGCATGGAGAGTAGGGAAGAGATATTATAATCCACTCTTATGAGCAACTATGAGCTGGCTGCAGTGCACTATTGAGTATATATTTATTTTGCATGACTCTATGGAGTCTGAGTGAAATTATGGTGATATTGTAGCCCCCCAATATGTTTCACCCATGCTACCTGTTGGAGTTATCTCTAATATTTAAAAAAATAAGCAAAATTTATTTTCTGAGATGATGCAGAATGGGGTAGACCTGAAAAACAGAGAAATAGGGAAATGTTAGGACAGAATTCTTAAGGCAAGCAGGAAGCAGGTAACAAGGCAAGAAGCTAGATTTACTAGGAATTTGAGGGAGAAATTTGTTGCAGTGTGGTAGCCAAAGCCTAAAGACTTCTGAAAATAGTCTGCCTGTGTGTGCTTATAAGCAGTTTGCTTGTCAGGGCTGTCATCCCACTCTACTGCCCCAAACTTTCAGTTAACTTGACTATAAACAAAAAAGGCCTTTGTGAGCTGTTGTTAGCTAGATGAAGAAAAGGGTCTGTGTCCCGCATCTGGGTCTATGCGGAATGTATAAAGGGGAATGAGACAGGAGGCAAGAACTAATGAGATTCAGAGGGCAGGGACAAGGCTGGAGGGAATCTCAAGAATGAAAGACATGGAGATTCCCAGAAGTTTTGGGGAGGCCATTGAACCTTTGCCAGACAAGTAATGGGGGCATTTGCCAATTTTATTTTTGACAGAAAGATGACTTTAGCTGCCATCTGGATGTTATTTATTCTACTGTTAAAAATAATTATGGCCTTATTTTTGTTTGATCTGCCAAAGGTTGAGATCTATTACTATAATTGTCTTTCTGCCATTTACACATATACTTAACAGTTTTGTTTTATACAAATTTATGCTATACTACTTGAGGCATCCAAATTCATGGCTATTAGACCTTTTTTTGTGGATTATCAAGGCAAAATCTCTCTTTGCTCACCCAAGAATGTGGTGTGCTTTGTATTTGTTTAGATCCTATTTTGTATCTAACAGGCAGTTTGAAAGTATTTCTTATAGATATTACATATTTTTTTTCTTAAACTTATTCTTAGGTGTGACAGAGACTGCTAGTTGTCTCCCAGTATCATTTCCCCTTTTCTTTCCCGATAGTGGAAGCTCTGAATCTTAGCTGGCGTATGACCACTCAGAACAAAGGCTACATTTCACAGCCTCTCTTGCAGTTAAGCCTGGCCATATGACTGAGTTTTAGACAGTGGGATATGAGTGGAAGTGGTATGTGCAATTTTGAGGAGTGTTTTCCAAGCGAGGGGCATGCTCTTCTCTTTCTTCTTTCTTGTAGTAAGAATGGGACACCAGGGCCAGAGCAGAAAGCTGGAGGGAGCCTGGCACCCCTGGGATATGTAAAACATCTATTCCTGTCTTGGATTGGACCACGGGACATTTCACATGAAACAATAACCACTGTGTGACTAAGCCACTGTTTATTTGTTGTTGTTGTATGAAGCTGGACCTAATGCTAAATTACATACTAAGTATTTTTTTTAAATCTCTTTTATTGATATTTTAAATGAAGTATTTTTCCCCTTTATATCTTCCAGCTGGCTATAATTGCTACATATGAAATATGTTGTTAGGCAATTTTGTCGTTGTGAGAATGCCATAGTGTACTTATACACACCTGGACAGTATAGTCTACTATACACTTGGGCTACACAGTATAGCCTATTCCTCCTAGGCTACAAATCTATACAGCATGTTACTGTACTAAATATAGGCAATTAATTATAACACAATGATAAGTATTTGTGAATCTAAACATAAAAATGGTTTAGTAAAAGTATGATATAAAAGATTAAAAATGGTATACCTGGAGAGGTTACTTACTACGAATGGAGCTTGCAGGAATGGAAGTTATTGCAGGTGAGTCAGTGAGTGAGTGGTGAGGGAATGTGAAGGCCTAGGGCATTACTGTACACTACTGTAGACTTTATCAACACTGTGCCCTTCGGCTGTACTAAACCTATAAAAAATATTCTTCTTTCTTCAATAATAAATTAACCCTAGTTTACTGTAACTTTTTAACTTTATAAACTTTTCATTTTTTTAATGTTTTGATTCCTTTGTAGTAAGACTTAAAACACAAACACAGGTACAGCTGAACAAAAAATATTTTCCTTCTTTATATCATTTTCTATAAACTTTTTTTGTATTTGAAAATGTTTACTTTTATTTTTATTTTTTACTTTTTAAGCTCTTTTGTTAATAACCAAGACACAAACACATACACTAGCCTAGGCCTACGCAGGGCCAGGATCATCAATATCACCATCTCCACCTCCACATCTTGTCCCACTGGAAGGTCTTCAGGGGTAATAACACACATGGAGCTGTCATCTCCTGTGATAACAGTGCCTTCTTCTGGATACCTCCTGAAGGACCTGCCTGTTTTACAGTTAAATTTCTTTTTAGTAAGTAGAAAGAGTATACTCTAAAATAATGATAAAGGTGTAGTAAATATATAAACCAGTAACATTGTTGCTTATTATCAAGAATTATATACTGTAGATAATTGTATGTGTTACACTTTTATACAACTGGTAGCACAATAGGTTTGTTTATACCAACATCACCGCAGACACATGAGTAATACGTTGTGCTGTGACATTAGGACATCTATGATGTCACCAGGCGAAAGGAATTTTTCAGCTACGTTATTTTTTGGGAAGTCCATGGTTGAATGAAGCATCATTATGGGGTGCATGATTGTACTTGGATAACAAAAAAGTAAAGAAGGAAGAGTTCTTACATATTGGGAGAGCCATCAACTGTCTGGTGATCTAATGAGGCCAAAGCACCGTTGTAGGAGTAGCTGAATAAGCAAGTGGGAAGGAGAAGCAGTATGGTGAGAAAGCAGGAAACCACCTGGAGTGTTTTTGGAGGTGGAGCATTTGTGGTTGTAGCTAAGACTGAGGTATCAATCTAGTTGCGGGTGGTTGAGTTGCATGTGGAAGTAAAGGTGACTTGGAACCAGCAGGCCAAGGAACTGAGAAGGATGGGTTAGTGATGGGACACTGCAGTCCTTCCGACAGATGGCAGGGTTTAACATGGAGAGGAAGACTGTGGGCCAGATGGCAAAGGCTGTGATTACTGTAACAGGAAAGCAGTGGAGAGTGTGGCAAAATTGCATGCGTTTCTCAGAGTGAGTTTTATGTGACAGGGTGGGGAGTAACAATGATCTGGAGCAAAGATACAGTCCTAAGAGTTCTGAATCCATGAAGAGACAATGAATAGATAACATTTTTCTTCTTGTATTTTTTCAGGTAGGAAAATATTTTTTATAAGTTAGATTTTTTTGTTAGACTTTACAGATGATAAGTTAGATTAACCTTATCATTTATAGAAATTTCTTCAAAATTCTGGAAATATTATTTCTATCATATAAACACATTTCAAATGGGAAATCGTGAGAGTCTAATTCATGCAGCTGCCAACTCACTGCCATTTCAAATGGTAAGTTTAGGTAAAATCTTTATATCAGTATGTTATATAAATGTCAATGGCATGCCATTTTTAGTTTGTGCAAATTTAAGATTTTATAATATTCTCCTTCAGCATTAATGACTTGAGACAAAGTGGTGCTAATGTAATTAGACAATTTAATTATAAAAATCCAAACCAGTTTTTTTTGTTTGTTTGTTTGTTTTTGAGACGAAGTCTTGCTCTTGTCGCCCAGGCTGGAGTGCAATAGCATGATCTCAGCTCACTGCAACCTCTGCTTCCCAAGTTCAAACGATTGTCCTGCCTCAGTCTCCTGAGTAGCTGAGATTACAGGCCAGCACCACCACGCTGGCTAATTTTTGTATTTTTAGTAGAGATGGGGTTTCGCCATGTTGGCCAGCCTGGTCTCGAACTCCTGACCTCGTGATCCACCTGCTTCAGCTGCCCAAAGTGCTGGGATTACAGGCATGAGCCACCCGCACCCAGACACCAGTTTTTAATAAAAAGACAAATCTGGTTTTTCAAAATGACTAATGTGTTAATTTCAGTGCTAGTTTAAGAGTGAAATTATCAGCCTTGCAAAGTTTTCCATCACAGCTGTTTTCCTTTATTTGATTCTATTTTTGCCTGTTATGCCTTAAAAAAACAAGGAACAGAAAATTCTAAGACAGATGGCTACTATATATTTTATAGTTTATTTTAAAAGTACAACCCACAACATCTGACATAATCTGGAACCAGTGTTCAGAAAATAATTTTGACTTGATGTTTGGTGTATACCCAATTGGAAATAATAAAGGTATAAATGGAGTCTAGACAAACACTAAGGCGAGCATTGTGCTTTTGTGGCAGCATTTGAAGAGTTTTCTAAGGTTTTATTTTACTTTTTAGTTAAGTTCTTCCCTTGTATCAATACTCTATTATATTTCAACTTAGTCTTTGTGCTTGCATTTGTTTTCTTTCCACCAGACATCTACATTTGTCCCCATTTTCTCATGAGATCATACTTTATTTTATAGGTCTAGCAATACTACAAGGCCAAGATTCCTGTTATTTCCGAATAAGATATAATGCATTAAAATTTGACATGTGTGCCTTCTTAAGATAATCAGCGAATATATTAAAATATTTAAATACACACCTGCTTCAAAGGTTAAATATTAATAAAATACATGTTTTTACTAGGATTATCATGAAAAATGCAGATATATCCAGACATTCCATAGGCCATCATTTTAATATTTTAAGGTTTAAACCTTTCTATTGATGTTCTAGAAAATGTGGAGACCTTGCAAATAAAAGAAGGGCTGAGTTGCTCATTATTCTTAGAAAAAGTAGCAATGCTAAAAGGAAGAAATTTAGTTAGAATTTTAGCAAATATGTATGTGTGTTAAATTAACATCGTTCACCTAGCAAATATATATATCACATATTATGTGTATATGTTTTCATATTTTAAATTGTTTTTAGAGAATATGTATTGAATTCTTACTATATTTCAGATACTACTTAGGCATCAGATGTCAACAAAGCAGACAAAATTCCATACAAGTGAGAGAGATAATAAATAAATGTACAAATAACTTAATTTTAGAAAAAGGTAAAATTCAGGCAAAGACAGACAATAAGCAAATAAATAAATGTATAAATAGTGTACTTTTAGAAAATCACAAATACTGAGCCAAAGAAATAGTATAGTAGTAAAATAGAGGATGACTAATAGGGAGGGTTGGGAACACATTAGATGTATTATTTCTTCATTTCAAAATTATAAAATGAAATCTGTGATGTTTCCTGCATAAAATTTTAGAAAAACTTTAAAGATCTTTTATCTCTGTGATATAAAAATACTAGTACATTTCATTTTTTTCTCCTCTAATTGTTATTATTTGTAGTCTTTACCTAGAATTTTACATTTGTAACTTATACACTGATTTTTCTTAGGTACCCATCTTGAATTGCTTGGTAAGGGGCAGCCAAATCCATATTCACCATTTGATGCATGAGAGGGTATATTCTGTTCTCACGCTGCTAATGAAGACATACTCAAGACTGGGTACTTTACAAAAGAAAGAGGTTTAATTGACTTGCAGTCTCACATTGGTGGGGAGGCCTCACAATCACGGTGGAAGGTCAAGGAGGAGCAAAGTCATGTCTTACACGGCAGCAGGCAACAGAGTGTGTGCAGGGGAACTGCCCTTTATAAAACCATCAGATCTTGTGAGACTTATTCACTATCATGAGAGCGGCATAGGAAAGAATCGCCCCCATGATTTAATTACCTCCCACCAGGTCCCTTCCATGATACATGGAAATTATGGAAGCTATAATTCAAGTTGAGATTTGGGTGGGGACACAGCCTAACCATATCAAAGGGTATAAAGAAAATATAACTAAAGTTGAATTTTCAGGTATGTAGAAAATAGTATGGTACATAGACCTGTATGAGACTTGGATTTTAAATTCCCCCTTTTATTTATCAATTTTCATTAAAAATAAATACTTGCGTCTCAGTAGCCTCATCAGCAAAATAAAGACAGAAGGCTTTCTAACTTTGAAGAATGATTGTTGTATAGTAAAATCTATTCAGGAAGTTCTAGTAATTTTGATTCTGTGAATCAAAATTAATAATTCATGCTGTAGATAATAATACCTTCTGTATTGAGACTTCAAAATTTGCAAGTACCACTGTAGCAAATACTATTTTTTTATTTTTGGTCTGGAAGAAATACTGAATTATTTTAATGAAACTTTTTCTTGTTTCTTTATAGATCACATAGTGAACTTGTTTATGTATTGTTTCTAAACTACCATAAAATTTATTTTTTCACTCTTGCTATTTCCAAACTTTTATTTTCTGGCAAAGAACCATCACCTTCAGCTTTCTTCACTTTTTAAATTAGTACTAGCCTTTTTTTTTTCCCAGAGGGGCTGCATTTCCCAAAGAAATAAACTGCTCTAGTGACACTATAAGCAAAATAAATGAAAAGGAAAAAGGACAAGACGGTGTCCTCTTAGTGATTCCATCTTTCATCCAGTGACCCTCCTTTACAATGCTCACAAACCATCCACTGATGGCTTGTTTCACAAACTTCACCAGGATCAATACCAAGCTTGGTAGCCTTCAATTCGTGTTTCTTCTTCTTCTTCTTCTTTTTTTTTTTTAGATAAGGCTTTTCTTCATCTCTAGCATTCACTGATAGAGGTATTACAGTCTTATTTGCAAGTTATTTAAGCATCCCGGGTTGTAATACACTGGGGTCAAGAGCCTAGGAAACAACTAGTCCAGCCAAGTACTTCCCGATGCAGGGTCACCTTCATTGTTGAAAGTGGGCATATTCCACAGAACAGGGATGTGTTTATCCTCTGAGTGTTGTTCTAAGCTAAATTCGTCACTCTCTTAGGCCTATATCCCATATATGTATTCAATCGAATTGAAAATAGCTCTTCTATTGCAGGATAAAAAAAGTGTGAATACAATTGTATTTTAACCATCCCCTAGGCTGTGATCTTTGCTAATGCCAATTGCTATGGAACCCAAAGACCTGGAAACCAAGTAGTACAGAAATGATATCTACTAATTCGACATTCATGAAGCTTCTTTCGTTTACTATCTTAGTGAATACACTAAGGAGTATAAATGAAGGACACTTCTGAGCTGAGGCAGCTCTGAACTATAAATGTGATCTTTTGCAAAACCGTTGATAACCCCATCCTACCTCAAATTCACGATCTAATGGAGTTTCATCACATTCAGCACAATCCACAAAATTATTATTTTTTTACTTTGAAAGGTTGTACTGTGGAAAATATGATGCAAACCCTTTTTGTTGATCTCTTATATTACCACATAGGACAGAATGTAGCTTGCTTGTTTACTACCTTTTCATAGGGTTAACATTTTTCTAATCTTTTAGTAAAGTTAGTTGATTCAATTTACCACACTAATATAAATAAATCAAGAATCTGTCCACCACCAAGAGGGAGGACATTAATAAATTATTTATGATTAAAATTACCATCAGTGAAGTAAAGTCATCTCTCTCTTTACCAAAATGCCATTGCTTTCATCCTCTCCTTGAGGTAATGCAGTGGCCTTTTTCAATGATTGATTTGGGCCATTAATGACAAGCCCAAGTAGGTTTTAGTTCATCCATCTTCCTTTAGCCCAGACAAAAATGCTACTACAAATAAACATCATGTCTGAATGATTTTTGACAGAAAGAACAACAGAAAGCCTCCTGGCCCATTATATACTTGTCTCTTCCTCTGTGATAGAGCTCCAAGAAAGGCCTCTGAGCCCATGAATTTGGAATGTCCTAAAAATGTAACTGTGAGATAATTTTTTAGGGGTGCTAACTTGACACTTTGTAATGTTGGTATAGTTTTAGGAGTGCCTAGGGCTATCTTGGGTATTAGTGAAGAATGACATAGAAACACAAACCTTAAATATAAACAGTACACACAGGTGCCTGAGTGTATTTCTGCAAGGTGTCCCTGAATGTTGACTTGCAAAATGACAAAAATCAGAAAAATTGTGCTGAAGGGATAATTTCTGATCACAG
The DNA here is from genome assembly GCF_000001405.40 of Homo sapiens. Taxonomy (NCBI): domain Eukaryota; kingdom Metazoa; phylum Chordata; class Mammalia; order Primates; family Hominidae; genus Homo; species Homo sapiens. The sequence goes on along the minus strand of NC_000004.12, from coordinate 111,831,832 downwards.
TGCTGTTTTCAAGTCTTCCTCATCCTGGCTGTGATTCTTGAAGAAAGCTATTGACAAATACATGGTAAACACATCTGATAGAAACAACTTAAGCATGTCTTGAAAATAAGCCTGTATGACAGATGCACCTGAATGTGTATGTTCCAAGCTAGGGAACCTGGCAGTGGCCAACCTGGCAATTCATTCCTTTTCTGTGAGGAACATCTGAGCCCCGACTTGTCCTGTGGAATACTGGTCACATGGGACATGAAGGCCTTGAGTTTTGTGTTGAATGAAGGTTGTCAGGTGGAGGTTGATAGGGAAAGGGTGTTCAGTGAAAATGCTATGTAAACTGCGTGCCTTTGCAAGTGGTTGTGGCTCTCCTGTTCAGCCTGCTGCAACTGGACTCTCTCCCCTCTATGTAAGCCACCAGTAAAACTCCATGTCTTTTTCACTGGCTCTGGGTCTCTTCTTCAGCCTCTTAAACCTGGTACCATATCCATTGGAGTGGATAGGGGTTTGGCACGACAGCAAAACGTAATTTTTTTTTTAGTTTATATTTTAAAGAAGATGTGGCTGTAAGTGGCAGCTGAGTTGGCATTAGATTCACAGTCAGATTCTCCTGAGCACATTGCACTGAACGCTCCATTTCTCTGCTTTTCCTTTAATTCTCTTGGTGATTCTGTTCTTATCTCTGTGGGAAGATATTAACTATCCCCCACTAGTAATTTCTGAGCTTCTGAAAGCAAAAACACCCAAAGCAGATTTTTGAGTAATTTGAGAAGCTCCCTCATGAGAGTGGAAATCCAGTGACTTTATTAGCATGACTAAAATTGTTAGAACAATTCTGTGCAATCTGCTGTACTTCTGTGAGGTAAACATTTTTTTCCCTCCTAATCCTCTTATTCTTATTGTATAAAGGAATAACAATTTTTCTTTTTAAGTTGAATCAATTTGTTCTTAGTCATATAAAGTTGGAACCAAAGTTGAAGTTTGGCTAGAAATTGCAAGATGTCTCTAACCTGTGAAAAGTCAATGGTGACGCTCTTGGTACATTTGAATGTCATGAAACTACTACAAAGAAAGACTGGTTTCTGGATTCATTTTTGGTGCAACATTTATTAAGCTCTTTCTCTGTTATCACCCCCTGCCTGGCATTTTCTGAAGTCTCCAAAAAGAGGCCACTACTAGGAAGTATGAGTCTTGAATTGCTTGTCATACAATATAACATCCTGCTGATATAGACAAGGGCTTTGAAAATGCAGTAAATAATTATTATTAAAAATCCCAAAGGAAAAAAATCAGTTCTGAACTGTCATCATACATTAAGTATACACTGACAAGCAATGCAGCTACCTTAGAAATTACATAAATATAAGACTGTTATATTACCTTTAATTCAGCCTTTTACTTCCCCCACTTAAAAGAATCAGTCTGAGGAAATGGAATCAGTATTTATTGGTATCTTTATTAATTGATTCTTAGAAGGGTGATTGACCACTAAAGTTCTCCTATCTTGTCTCCTCCTGAGAAAATGGATAGGAAATTTTACAAAGAACAGGCTATACAGTCATTAAAAATTGTTTCTCCAGCCAGGACAGGAAAACTTTCCTGTCTCCCAACCTTCAATTTTTCCTTGTAGAGTGATTGTCATCCACTGTCATTGCTCTAGCTTGATCCCTTTCTGTGTTTTCTCTGGACTTTCATGAGAAGATTCTAAATGGCTCACTGACTTCAGTTCACCTTCATTTCACTTCACGCCGTTCTGCCAGGATGTCTCCCTAAAGGATAACTCCATCCAGGTCACTCTGTTGCTCAATATCTATTACCCAGAGAATCTAAGGCAAACATCGTAACCTGACTCACAGAGCCTTCTATGATCCAGGCCTATCAGATTGTGATAAATGGTTAATTGTCTTTTCAAGTATATGACATTTCTGCCTAAATATTGGAAATTGTTCAGCTACAATCATATCACTTACTTCCACCACTGTGTATTATTTTATTAGATCAGTTATGTCTTTCTGGGATATATATACTGGTAAATGTAAAAAAAAGTCATTATTTAACTTTTTCAAAATATATCAAAGCCTTGGGCATGAAACTGCATCAACTAGATCCTGGCACAGTTGATCCATATAGCCAGCAATTCTACTCCATAGGTATGTGTCTGACAAAGTCAAACACTTACATCAACCAAAAGAGACATATAAGAATATTCAAAAAAAAAAAAGAATATTCAAAGCAGTGTTATTTGTAATAGTTTAATGCCAAGATAATTTCACAGCTACCGATAGAATTCATAGATCCTAAGTTGCTCATAATTTTCAAGACTTTCAATAGTAAATGTCTACTAATGGTAAAATAGAAATAGACATATCTTGATTATATTTATAAAATGAATTACTATACTGTGATAAAATGGCTAAATTATTGCACATGCAACAGCATGATTGCATTTTATAAGTATGGCATTGAGTGAAAGAAGCCAGAAATTTTTAAAAATATGTTTTCATTTATATAAATTTCAAAAATAGGAAGTGGTGGTAGAAGTCAAGATTGGTGGGTACATTCTGAGGTAGTGAGAGTAATGATTGGCAGGTAGCAAGAAGGTTGCTTCTGGGTTGCTTGTGGTAATTTTCTAATTTTTGCCCTAGGTGATGGTTGCATGGGTTTGTTCATTTTATAATAAGTCTTTGTACTGTTCATTTATATATACTTTTCTAAATCAAGACTATTTTTTAAACCAAATGTTTTGTTGACAAAAACTATTAATTAAAAATGTCCTGATTTCTATCTCTAGGAATCATGTTTTTCCCGGGATGTCAAAGATAAACTGGAGTTTCAATCTTGCTATCTTAACAAGAACAGAGGGAGAACAAAGAATAAAACAAGAAAATAAAGCTGACTATATTAAAAGAACAGAGGTATGTCCTTAAGAGAAAACCTCCATCCTCAAAGACTTAAGAGAAAGTAAAGAGTGGAAAACAGGATATCAAAATGCAGTACAAATTGCAAACAGTGGGAATAAAAGAAATATATCCAGGATTAAGCTCTCTTAAAGAGGGGCCAAGAAAAATCACAAGATGGGTATATATTTGAGTTGTTATTGATCAGAAACTATGACTTTTTCCCAGATAAATTTATCAGAGGAATAGGATGAAGATCATGGAGAGCAAACTGGAATGACTTTCCAGATAGTAAGATCCAGGAGATTAATAGTAAGATCCAGGAGATTAACGTAAAATGGTCCCTTAAATCTGCCGATACCTTTCCTAGACCCTGTATTCTCCATAAAACTAGTTATGCTATATTAAACATAGAAAGATTGTATCATAAGACTGTATGGTTATTGATTTGGGAGAAGGTCAATATAAGATTCTGAAAGAATATCCAAATGAGTTCAACAGTACGGCAGATGACTCTGCAGGCTGTGTCTTTGGGAACATAACTAAAAATTGTGAAATTCAAGGGAATGTGCAGCAGTGATGAGGCTTATCAGTCAGAAACCTGGTAGAATAAGAATAGATGCAGTTGGAATAGATCTTGGTTGGATGAAAGAATGAGCCTGAATGAAATTATCTGACTCTGAAATGATGGCAGATAAAAATTATATGAACAACAGATGCTTTGGGAAGACAGTGATCATTGATTTCATAATTGCTACAATATGGGATTTCACAAGATGAAATCTAAATTATTAAATTAGGAAAACACAACGTGTTCACCAGAATACAAAGGAAGGTAGGATAGAGGGTTTTTAAAACTAACAAGTAGCATTGGCCTTACTTGTGGAAGGCCACAAAAGAGTCAACAAAGAAGTTGGAACTGTTATCAACTCAGTTGAAAAGTATGACAGTGGTTTTTCAATGGTGGCTGCACATTAGAATCAGCTGGAGAATTAAAAAAAATACTGAGACCTGGGCCTCTCCACAAACCAATTTTACTGGAATATATGGTGGTGAGGTCCTGGCAATAGCCTCTTTGCAGTGCTCTCCAGGTGATTCTAATGTCTATCAGGTGGAGAATCTCTAGAGTAAGAGATCAGGAGAGAATAATACTTAAGGCTATTCTTAGTGGCAAGTGAAAAACAGTTCCCTCCTCACAAGGCACTAGGGGTCACAAACTTCAGAGCCATTAGTAAATATTCAGTAGAATCTTCAGATAAACGTTCTTCTAAGGCTGCTTTCCCAGCTGAAAAAAATATACAGATATATTGGAGATGGGTGGATGGATAGATCGGATATATGCCTATGGGTTTCATAGGCATATATGGGAAGCTGACAACACAGGCCCAGAGGGTAATTAAAAGGTTCTAAAAAAGCTAGATTTGGGCAAAGGGTGAAGGCTTTTCAAATAAGGCATGCTGTCTGGGTTTACTACCAATGTAACGTTCTATGCAAGAACACAAGACTTTCCAATGCTACAATCTGAGAAAGGTGCCAAAATCTTAAGAGAGAATTGTCTCTTAGAAATAAACCCATTAGGTTGGTGCAAATGTAATTGTGGTTTTTGCATTGTTGGAATTTGCTGTTTGATATTGGAGTACATTCTTAAATAAATGTGGTTATATTATACATCATTTTAATGGGCATTTCTCACTTTATTTTTTTTTTGCTTATGACTTATTACTTGCTGTTTATTTTAGACTATGGAAATGATGTTAGACAAAAAACAAATTCCAGCAATTTTCTTATTTGAGTTCAAAATGGGTCATAAAGCAGTGAAGACAACTTGCCACATCAACAACACATTTGGCTCAGGAACTGCTAACAAATGTACAGTGCAGTGGTGGTTCAAATTTTGCAAAGGAGACAAGAGCCTTGAAGATGAGGAGCATAGTGGCTGGCCATCAGAAGTTGACAAAGACCAAATGAAAGCAATTATCGAAGCTGATTCTCTTACAACTACTCAAGAAGTTGCCGAAGAACTCAATGTCGATCTTTCTACAGTAGTTTGGCATTTGAAGCAAACAGGAAAGGTGAAACAGCTGGATAACTGGGTGCCTCATGAGTTGAGCGAAAATAAAAAAAATCGTCGTTTTAAAGTGTCATCTTCTCTTACTCTACACAACAACAAACGAACCATTTTTTGATCGGATTGTGATGTGCGACAAAAAGTGGATTTTATATGACAACTGGCGATGACCAGCTCAGTGGTTGGACCGAGAAGATCCAAAGCACTTCCCAAACTCAAACTTGGTGACTGTTTGGTGGTCTGCTGCCGGTCTGATCCACTACATCTTTCTGAATCCTGGTGAAATAATTACATCTGAGAAATATGCTCAGCAAATCTATGAGGTGCACCAAATACCGCAATGCCTGCAACCAGCACTGGCCAACAGAACGGGCTCAATTCTTCTCCACGACAACTCAGGACCACACGTCGCACAACCAATGCTTCAAAAGTTGAACGACTTGGGCTACAAAATTTTGCCTCATCCACCATATTCACATGATCTCTTGCCAACTGACTACCACTTCTTCAAGTATCTCGACAATTTTTGTTTGTTTGTTTTGCAGGGAAAACCTTCTACAACCAGCAGGATGCAGAAAATGCTTTCTAAGAGTTTGTCAAATCCCGAAGCACAGATTTTTATGCTACAGGAATAAACAAACTTATTTCTCATTGGCAAAAATGTGTTAATTTTAATGGTTCCGATTGTGATTAATAAAGATGTATTTGAGCCTAGTTATAATGATTTAAAATTCATGGTCTAAAACCGCAATTACTTTTGCACCAACATAATAATTAGCCTCTATTAGCCGGGCATGGTGGCGCATGCTTGTAATCCCAGCTACTCTGGAGGCTGAGGCAGGAGAATTGCTTGAATTCAGGAAGCAGAGGTTGCAGGGAGCTGAGATCATGCCACTGCACTCCAGCCTGGGTGACAGAGGGAGACTACATCTCAAAGCAAAAACAAAAACAAAAACATAATAATTAGCCTCTAAAAGGGAAGTTTCTTGCAATTGAAGTTAAGTTCATAGGTTTTGGATTTTAATAACGGGCAGAATAGACTGACATCTGGCTGTGGCTGAAACTAAGGAGCTTGGGGTATTGTAGATATAACAGCCTCTACTTGGGAAGAGTCCCTCAGTGGGTAGCTGGCCCAGTTTGTCTTAGAGCAGGAAAGTAAAATGAACATTCAGAGATGGAGTTGAGGATAGAGAAGCTGTTGCTGATAATAAACAGAAGTTTTAGAGGACACATAAGAAAATGTCATGTTTCTTAACAGATAAACTATTGGCAATTTAAGTGAGATCATTTTTACAGTGCAGAAGCTCTCCAGGATAAGGGAGGACATTTAATATCTCTGATTCCTGCACCAAAATGCCAGTACAACCACAAATGGGACCCACTGGGAGAATCAGTTAGGACTGAGGGCTTCAATCAGATTAGAGGGTCTACATAGCTTAGAGGATAAGATCTGGGAATGAAAACTGCCTAAAAATATATGGGGTGGCTTGCACTCCCATTGATGGGATTATGTTAACTAGGGACATAGTGCATGTTGGCATTAGCTTTAATGGTCTTGTAAGAAGAGTAAATGGTCGGATCTAATGATATTCTCCTTTAGGGGGTGGTTTCTTAAGCAATTTGCATTGGTGAAGCAGGGTGTTTTATGTGGTAGGAGAAAAGTGGTCTCACTGGGACCACATGTTAGTCCGTTCTCATGCTGCTGTAAGGACATACCTGAGACTGGGTAATTTATAAAGGAAAAGGTTTAATTGACTCACAGTCCCACAGGGCTGAGGAGCCCTCAGGAAATTTACAATCATGGCAGAAGGGGAAGCAAACAATGATAGGGGAAACAAAGAGAGGGAAAAGCTCCTTATAAAACCATGAGATCGCTTAAAAACTCACTATCAGGAGAACAACATGGAGGTAACCACCCCAATAATTTACCTCCCACCGGATCCCTACCATGGCAACTGGAGATTATGGGAACTACAGTTCAAGATGAGATTTGGGTGGACACATAGACAAACCATACCAGACCATGTGGCATTCCTGAGTTCCCTATCACTGTGTGGGCAGTGCTGAGGCAATGGAACAAGGTCGTATGTGGAACACTTGGAGCTTTATGGTTTCTTGGCCAAACAAGCCTTCCGTAGATGATTTCAAGTCTAGGAATATGCCTTAGATTCTGTATGAGGGAGTTGAAACTAGTGGTACCAGGAGGAAATCTAAGCCTAATTTCTTATACCAACCAATTAAGTAGAAAACCGTATGACTATACTCATGATTGCCACAAAGACATTCGATAAAACCCAAACAATTATTTGTTATGTAAAACTCTAACTGAAAGGAAGAGAAGGACAAGTTTATTTATCTGCACCAGGAAGTGAGAAAATAAATGGTACAATGTTAAGCTATTTCCATAAAAATTAGAAAAAAATTGTGGAATATCCACTTTTACCCTTTTATAAAACATTTTAGAGGTATTAACTAATGCAATAAAAAATAAAACAATGTAAACATTGGATAGATTTGTATCTTTTAGATGACAAAAACCCAAAAGGATTTTCCTTAAAACTCCTAAATTTAATATGAAAAATTGGAATATTGGCTGAATTTTAAAAATCAGCTTGTAAAAATCTATAGAAATTCTTGAATTAGAAAAAAATAATTTAGGCTGGGAACAGTGGCTCATGCCTATAATCCCAGCATTTGTGAAGCCTGGGGAGAGGATCATTTGAGTTCAGGAATTTGAGACCAGCCTAGGCAACATAGTAAGTCCCCATCTGTACAAAAAATTTAAAAATTAGGCATGGTGGCATGTGCCTGTAGTCCCAGCTACTTGGGAGGCTGAGGTGGGAGGATCACTTGAGTCTGGCAAATTGAGACTGCAGTGAGCTGTGACTGTATCGTTGCACTCCACCTTCGCTGAGAGAATGAGACCCTGTCTCAGAAAAGAGAAAAAAGCTATTTAAAAATGGAAGCAGAAAAATATCTCATTTGAAGTAGTGATAAAATTAATTTGATAAGATATTTTCTATACAAAAACAACAAATTATTGGAGGACATTATAGAAAGTCTAAACAAATATACAGGCATAATATCTTTCCCAGGGAAGAGACTTAATATTGTAAAAATATTACATTTCATAAATATATTATGTCAATTAGTATTCTAGTGGAATAGAATTTTTATTTATTGGAATGTGATAAAGTCAGATTTCATATTGAAGTATTAGCTGAGAATAGGTATGCCAATTTGAAAAAGTGTAGAGTCCTTGATTTACCAGGTATTAACTATCACCATAACTCCATAATTCAACTGGTTGTTCAGTCTAATTTTGCAGCCAGCATCCCCCAAATTTTAGCAACCAAACACAGGTCATACTCATGTAACTGGTGGTAGAAGCGGGAGACCTTTTCTAGCAGTCACTCAGTGATATGCTATATCAACCAGGAGACAGAAACCACATCAGTTATTGGAATAGGGAAAATGTAATATAAAGATTTATTAAGCGGGGGATTAACGACTAAGGTGTGGAGAAAATTCTAAAGAATAGAAGAATAGAAGAATTGGGGAGCAGTCACTCCTTATAGGGCTGAGGCAGAGTAGCCAAGGAAAGAATAGACTTGAAGACCCAACCCCACTCAAGACTGACAATTGGAGCTCTTTGGAATGTGTCCCTTGGAAGTGGAAAAGTTTGCTGCCACTGGCTGGGGCTGATAGGCAGAAAACTGATCACTGTGGTGCTAGCAAGACTCTCTCAGAAGCTGCCTGCTGGTGTGTCTAGGGAAGTTGCTGGAGGGTGAATGCTACCAGGTGCCACGTGCTCCAAGAATCAACAGGAAGGGCCGGGCACAGTGGCTCACACCTGTAATCTCAGCACTTTGGGAGGCTGAGGTGGGCAGGTCACTTGAGTTCAGGTGTTCCTGACCAGCCTGGGCAACATGGCAAAACACTCTCTCTACAAAAAAAAAATACAAAAATTATCCAGTGTGGTGACACGCACCTGTAGCCCCAGCTACTTGGGAGGCTAAGGTGGGAGGAACACTTGAGCCTGGGAGGTTGAGGATGCAGTGAGCCATGATTGTGCCACTGCACTTCAGCTTGGGGGACAGAGTGAGCCATTGTCTCCAATCAATCAATCAATCAAATGATTCAAAAGGAAAAATCACCTCAGAAGGAGGAAGAGAAGTCCCTTCCCCTTAAAGTGTCCCTCTAACACCTTCCACTCACTAAGGTTAATCTGATGTTTAATCTTGTGCCACCTGACGAAGGAGAAATGTTTACAGGCTCTAGCTCCAGTGTAATGAAGCAGGGGAAAGTAGGCAGATTTAAGCTAAGAAGCAATACCTTGATAAAGTGGCACAGCTGTGTTCCTTCTGTCTTGGGGCTCTTCCTTCTGAAAGTTTTCCTATTCATTAAGTTTATGGCAAAAAGATGGAGAAACCTCACTTTTCCTAAACTTCCGTGGAAAGTAGACACTAATCATGTGGCCTTCCCTAAATGCAAGAGGGATAAGAAGTGTCTTCTAGTGATATACTCAGGAAAAAGAGGAGCACACAGATATTGATGAATAATAGTCATCTCTACCACACACTATAATCAAAGCTGTGTTACTGGCCCAGGAAAAGATAATCAGATCAGGCAAATAGAATAAAGCATAGACCAATATATATTAAATAGACCAATTTTGAGATTAAAGATAAACATATCCATTGGCTCTTTGACAATCTACCTTATAGTAATAAATGAAAGCTCCATTCTATAAACAAATATATAAAAGGGTATTTATTGCAGAATTTTTAATAGTAATTAGCAAACACATAAACAAAAAAGCCAAGGAGTATTCATGAATAATTAAATAGTGGAATCAATTACGGTATTTCATATTAGAGAATACATTTTTTAACTGAAAATGAATTAGATCCATATCTATGAACTGGTGGAATGTTGATAATATAAGTGAGAAATGCGTTGTGTATGGTACAATCCCACTTACATCTAAGAATCTTACATACCTGTACACTTGTATATATCTGTATGCTCAAGAAGAAGAATGTTAACACTGGTTATCCAGTGTGGGAGTGAAAGGAAAAGGGGTGAAATCATTAACTCTTCATGCATTTTAGCTTGATTCCTTGGTTGCAATTAGCATGAATTTCTTCTCTAAGATAAAATAATAAAATGTGAGGTGAAAGAGTTAAGCTTTATCTACATTACACAATCAAATAAACAAATGTTTTAGATCTGGAAATCCTGGCAACAACAAGCTGCCTCCTCCTAATGTTGACTGAAACAAATTTGAACTAAGTAGTTACTTTGGCTTGCTTAAACTTTGTCTTATCTCATCTGTCCAACCTCTTTGAACACTTGCAAAAGAGAACTGCTTTTAATGGTTAGGTGGCATTGCAAGCATAATAGCATTGGAATGATAACATTTTTGCTGAAAGAATGTGTTGATATATTTATACTGAAGGTATAGGGAGGCAATGTAAGTTTCAGTGTAGCTAGTGCATAATATTCAGCTTATGCTAATATTTAGCAATTATAAATACATGTATAGTTTATATATCTCAAAAATATACAAGAAAGAGGTAGAGTCTATTAAATAATTAAAAACATAAAAGTCAATATATAATTCAGTGCCTCTCACCCTTTTCCCTTAAAATAACCTCAGAACAGAATGAACGTGTACACATAGTAGTAGGAAAAAATTCAACCTAAAGGGCTCCCTTCCTGTATACAATTTTTTTTGAAGTCTCATGTTTTCTCTATTAAAAAATTAATGTGAAGTTTGCATTCTACTTCATATTATATTCAAGTTTGCCTTATAAATTTAAAGTTTTAAATTATGTACAAGTTAAATAACACATATCTGACTACACCCCTACCCTACTCCCCCAACCAGTTAAGATATTCCAGGAAAATGCACAATGTTTATTGTGTGGCTTCAAGTAGCTCAGAAAAACAATTGCCTGATGGCAAATGTATCTCACTGCAAAGAGAGAGGCATCTGAAACAAGGTAGTTGTCAAGTGGTCCAAGAAGAACGGAGATAATTTTTTTTTTTTCTGAGATGGGAGTTTTGCTCTTGTTGTCCAGGATGGAGAGCAGTGGAGAGATTGAGGCTCACTGCAAGCTCCGCCTCCTGGGTTCAAGCGATTATCCTGCCTCAGCCTCCCAAGTAGCTGGGATTACAGGCACCCGCCACCATGCCTGGCTAATTTTTTGTATTTTTAGTAGAGACGGGGTTTCACCATGTTGGTGAACTCCTGGTCTTGAACTCCTGACCTCAGCTGATCCGCCCGCCTCGGCCTCCCAAAGTGCTGGGATTACAGGCGTGAGCCACCGCTCCTGGTCCAAAATGAGATAATCTACTTCTTCACTTTCACTATGTTCTTGGAGATGTTCCTTATGGGACAGGAAACAACTTTTTCTTTGGCATTTGTAGCAGAAACTGACTAGATGCTTATCAATTTCATTTTCTCTTCTGGGGCGAACAGAGGATTATGTTTACCAGCTTGCTTTGCTGGTGGGTTGCAACCGTGGGATCAGGTTCTGGCCAGTGAAATGTTCATGGTGGACTTGAACTTCATTTACATACCTGGTCATAAAATTATCCTGTATAATTTTCCTCACTCTTAATATTTTTGTTGGTTCAATGCAGAGAAGCCTGTGGATGACTCTGAGGAATCTTTGCTAGATAGTGGTACAGTGAGATGAAAACAACCGGGATCCCGAATAACCACGTGGAAGGATGCTAAATGAACACTTGAGATTGCCCCTATTAACATGCATATATACATCCTCTTATAGCAGTCTTTGCAGCAATCCTAAAGGGACAGAGTTTTTACAGATGGAGAAATTAAGAGATTAAGCACTTGTTCGATTTTCCATAGCTAAGTGGTAGAACTAGAAATTAAATTTAGTTTTTCCAATTCTGAAGTAACTGCCACAATATAATGGCTTACCTACAGCATTTCAAGTAAGGACTCTTGATATTTAAATTTGCTATTGGTTATGCTTATTGGGAAACTTGGTTAGTGTACAGGGACAGGCTCTTAAAAGTGTAGTGCTACCAAGCAGGTGTGAACAAATTTTCCCATATGTTGATTAAAACGATCTTCTGGTAGAATGTTGGGTTTAAAATTTTTTTTTTTTACTGTAGTAAAATACACATAACATAAAGTTTACCATTTTAACCATTTTTAAGTGTATGGTTCAGTACCATTAAGTAAATTCACATTGTTCTGCAACTGTCACCACCATCCATCCCTAGAACATTTTTCATCTTCCCAAACTGGAAGTCTATACCCATTATAATCCCCATTTTCCCCTCTCCCCAGCTCCTGGCAACCACCATTCTACTTTTTGTCTCTATAATTTGACTATTCTGGGTACCTCATACATGTGGAATTATAAGCTATGTGTTCTCTTGTGACTAGCTTACTTCACTTAGCATGTCTTCGAGTTTTATCCACGTTGTATCATGCGGTAGAATTTGACTCCTTTTTAAGGCTGAATAATATTCTATAGCATGTATATCTCACATTTAGTCTATTCATTTCTCAATAGACATTTGGGTTGGTTTTGACTATTGCAAATAATGCTGCTGTAAACATGGGTGTGCAAATACCTGTTCAAGTGTCTGCTTTAAATTGTTTTGGATATGTATTTGGAAGTAGATTGCTGAGTCATATAGTAATTCAATTTTAAATTTTTTGAGGAACTCCATACTGTTTTCCATAACAGCTGTTCCATTTTGCATTCCAACCAGCAGTGTACAAGGGTTCCAGTTTCTCTACTTCCTATCAACATTAGTTACCTCCTGTTTTTCTTTCCTTTATTTTTCTTTTTAAAAAACCAGTAATAGCCATCCTAATGAATGTGAAGTGGTATCTGATTGTGGTTTTGGTTTGCATTTCCCTAATGAGTAGTGATGTTGACCATCTTATTTTGTGCTTATTGGCCCTTTGTATATCTTCTTTGGAGAAATATTTGCCCATTTTTAAATCAGGTTGTTTTTGTTGTTGTTGAGTTGTAGAAATTCTTTCTAAATTCAGGATATTAACCCCTTATCAGATGTATAATTTGCAAATGTTCAGTGTGCTTATTGCCTTTTCACTTTGTTGATAGTAACCTTTGATACACAAAGTTTAAATTTTGATGAAGTTCAACTTATCTACTATTTTTCTTTTGTTGCTTGTGCTTACTGCCATATCCAGGAAATCATTGCAAAATCTAATGTCATGAAGTCTTTCCTCTATGTTTTCTGCTAAGAGTGCTTTAGGTCTTACATTTAGCTCTTTGCTTCATTTTAAATTAATTATTATACTTGGTGTGAGGCAAGGGGCAAACTTCATTATTTCACGTGTGGATATCCCATTTTCCCAGTGCCATTTGTTGAAAAGACTATTCTTTCCCTAATGAATGGGCTTGGCACCCTTGTCAAAAATTGTTTGACCACATAAATGAAGGCTTATTTCGTTTTTTTTTTTAATCTTATTCCATTCATCTATATGTCTGTTGTTATTCTACTACCACACTGATTTGATTATTGTAGCTTTGTCGTATGTTTTGAAATCAGGACGTGTAAGACCTCCAACTTGTTCTTTTTCAAGATTACACTATTTAGGATGCATTGAAATTCCATATGAATAATAACGTAGATTTTAACAGTTATAAATTTAGATCTAATCTAGGTGTTCTTCCAAACACCAGTACTATTTTGAAAAAATAGTATTGAGAAAAATGTCTTGACTTTTCATCAACTTTAATGATAAGCTATGGGAAAATATCTAAAGATGTAAACTGTAGAAGACTTAGAACAGAACCTGGGCACAAGAAATAACCAAGAAACACGAGCTGTTTTTCTATTACTCCAGAGTCTCTCTTACTGTAAATACTGTTTGTAGCATAGCTATTTTTTTTTCCTTTTTACAAATAGGCCCCTGTTTCACTGCCAACTGATATTTATTCCGTATAGATCCTTAATAGATAGGCATACCTTTCCTAACAGATTAGGGCTGAAGGATTCAATTACTCTTACTTTAATCTCTCTTTGAAGGAATGACTTTTAAACTGAATACTTAATATGAAATGTTGATTTGCTTCTTGTATTAGTTTTCTATGCTGTGTGGCAAATTACCATGAATTCAACAGCTTAAAGCAACACATACATGTTATCTCAGTTTCCCTGTGTCAGGAGTCTGGGCATGGTTGCCCGGGTCCTCTACTCAGAGTCTCACAAGGCTGCAGTCAGGATTTTGACCAGGCTGCATTCTCCTTTGGAGCTCAGGGTCTTCCAAGACCATGTGGTTGTTGGCAGAATCCAGCTCCTTATGTTTGTAGGACTGAGGCCTCTGTTTTCTTGCTGTCAGCAGCAAGCTGCCCTCAGTTTTAGAGGCCACCTTAGTGCCCTGCCACATGGCTTTCTTACAACACAGCAGCTTCCTTCCTAAGGTCAAGGCTAGTAGGAGAACCTCTTTTTCTTCAGTCTACTAAGGCATTGTCTTATATAATGTAACACATCAGGGGATGACTGTCCCATCACCTTGCTCACAGGACATAACCTCATCAAGAGCTATTATTCCATCATATTCATGGCTCCAGACTGCGCTTGAGTAGATTATAAACAGTGTGTTTGCCAGGAGACAGGATTCTTGCCACCATCTTAAAATTCTGCCCACCAAACTTCTCTTGAGTTTAGCTTATTAAACAAAGCAATGCCAGCCCATATAGGGGGAAAAACAGTACTAAAATAATCAGAAATCAAGTCATAGTTAGTAGGGGATTTAAAAACAAAATATTGCATTGATTATGTAAAAGTAATCTAAACTGTTTTTAATTCTAATATTTTATGGCTGCTAAATGTAATTACCCAACAGGTTCTTCTGGCCCTCTGCACAGACAAAACGAATTCACTGAGATCAGTAAAGAAAGAGTTTAATTAACTTGAGCCCAGCCACAGGAGAACTGGAGTTTCTACTCATATCAGTCTCTCTAAAGGCTGGCAGGGTTAGGGTTTTTATGGACAATTTGATGGGTATGGGGCTTGGGAATGGGTGCTGCTGATTGGTTGGGGGTGAAATCAAAGGGGTGTGGAAAATGGTCCTTGTGTGCTGAGTCCTCCTCTGGGTGATGCCACAGGACTGGTTGAGTCATGAGTCATGGTCAGGGCAGGGTCCCTTGGTTGTCAGAATGCAAAAATCTGAGAAAAAAACCTCAAAAGACCAATCTTAGGTTCTACAATAGTGATGTTATCTACAGAAGCAACTGTGGAAGTTACAGATCTTGTGACCCCTGGCACATAACTTCAGAGCAGTAGGGAGTATAGAAACTACTCCTATATCTTAAGCAGAGTGGAGGCCTCCTTCATAATTCTAATCTAGTGGCCTTTCATCAGTTTTACAAAGTTGGTTTAGTTTTGGGAAGCGCTATTATCATCCTTGTTTAAGGGTAAACTATCAACTAAATTCCTCCCAAAGTTAGCTTGGCCTATGCCCAGGAATGACCAAGGACAGCTTGGAGGTCAGAAGCAAGATGGAGTCAACTGTAACAGATTTGTCTTGTCATAATTTTGCAAAAGTGTTTTCATAAGAAAGAAATAATAACTAATATATTTTAAGTCACATGTATAGATACTTATATCTACTTTCTTATTTAATATTCATAAATCTAAGTGGCTAAGACAGAATTTGAACCAGATCTAACTCTAAAATGTCATTCTTCCCATTATAGCATTTGAGCACTTAAGTATATTTATATATGTGTGTGTGTGTATACTCTCTCTCTCTCTATATATATACTCCCTTTATATATATATCTATATAATATATAGATCTATATTATAGTTTATATCTATATATTATATATTATAATATATTATATACTATATAATATCTATAGATAACATCTATATATTGATATATATAATATATATCGATATATATTTTATATATATAGAAAGAGAGAGACAGAAAGAGAGAGAGAGAGAACAACATACTATGAAACTTATTTTAAATATGAGGTATATATTTGAAATACTGAAATACTACAAATCAATTCCCTTTTGGGAAAGTAGTTGTATTATGAGTAGGGAGGCTTGAGGCTTCAAAAGATTGAAGCCATCTTTTCCAAAGGGCTACAATACTTAGAATGCAGAATCTTGTGCCCCTGCTACCCTGCCTCACATTACGTTGTGACCCTCTTTCTATTTCAATACATGATTAATAACAGGACTGAACTGGAACTAATGGGAGAAAAGGAAGCTAAAACGACAGTGTTCCAAGTTAAAGGTGGATCAATAAAGGCTTTTGCTTGAAGTAGTTGATGGAGCTTCAGAAGTGCAGTCTTCAAACCTGACTGCCAAGTGACCTCCTCTCAATGCATCCCTCAGTTTATCTCCAGCTCTTCAGCCCCTAGGCAGTATTTACAGGCAAACCAAAACAAAATGAGTGTTTTTGATTTTTGAAGTATGGATACTTTTAGATGATTCTTTGAAATTTGTTCTTATCAGTTTCTATTGATAAAATTTTTTAAGAGGAAAAGCAACTTAAGTAAAGATTTTGGTATCAGTCTTCTGCATTTAACATTAATGTCAATCTAAAGAGAAGAAATCATCTGGAGGGCTTGTCTTAAAAGGCTAGATAGGAACCCCGTGCCATTTGGTGCTAGGCCCTATTGACAGATTTACTGCCTTCTCAGAGGAGCTGCGGCCACAGAGTGATGGAAGTGGCAGGTGAGGGCGGCAGCTAAGAGGATTCCCATGCTCCATGCACGTGTGTAACTGGCGGCATCTAGGGTCACGGAGAGCCAGGCCTGTGTTTACAGTTAGGGTTTGTTGGGGGGTAAAAATTTATTTTTCTCCTATCCCTCAAGGTAAAAAACTCTTCTCACTGCTCAGTTAGGAGACTTTCCAAAGTAACCAAACCAAAACCAAGCATTGGTGTTTTAGAAATAGTGCAATGGTTATGCCTTTCTGCAGCATGGAAGGAAAAAAAAAAGAATCATAAATGAAAAATGACAAAAAATGAATAAAATAACCTTTTTGCCCACCATGTTAAATAAAAAGCACTCATTGGAAGCTAATATCAGTTAGGGAATGAACATGATGAGAATTGGTAAGCATTTTTTTGTCTCCTGTCTGCAAATAGCACTGATAATAAAACAGAATATAATATGCAGAATTTCAGTCTTACCCAGTTCATATGAATCAACCTTGAATTTGAAAACCATGCAGGGTAATTGATAGAGACCTACTGCTAAAGTGCAATAATGCCATCTAAATTTATTAAAGATTGTTAATGTATCCAGTCCAGAGGAAAAAGGACTATTTCAGGAAATAGTCAAGGGCGTCTTGGACAGACGAATTTTGTATAATATCAGAGGGTCCAATACTGGAACTAATGCCCCAGGACAAAGAGAATTCTGCATGAACTGTACTGGAAAGCCATGAACAGTACTGGAAAGCACTTCCTTCAGTATTGTTGGCATTCTGTAAATTCCCACATTCTACTGACTTTTCTTAGAGAAAAAAACATTTTAACTCAATGAATAAGGCAGTATCCCTACCCCCATGCACTATTAAAAACATGTCTTCTATATTTAAAATTGGTAGTTGAAGAGCTAACAAAGGAGAAAATTCTTATAAAGAAGCATTGTGTAGTCAAATTTGCTGGTAACAGTTCTGTTACAAATACATGTCTTAAAGCCAGTTTCTTTATTTTAATAACAATTGTTAGAGTACATAATCCTCTACAGCAGCGACCAGGTATCACTCATTTCTGATTCCACAATACCCAGCATAGAGCCTGGATCCAGCCCCATAAGTGCTCAGAGTATATCAAGTCTCTGTTTAAAAGGAAACTATCAGGCATTCGTGCCAATGCTTTTGTTCTTTTGAGTCAAGGACTGTTAATGCCATTCTCATTTTGTGGCCCACTTAAAATGTTTACGTTTGCTTTGATGTACTCTGGAAGAGCAGCAGAACTAATTTTGCTCACTGATAGGTGGATGTGTTTGTGGTGGGGATAGTTTTGAAATCACTTGATAATGACAATGAACTGCTGCCAGGGATGGGGGTTTACAGATTGACTGAATTAAAGCAAGCAGTTAACCTTCATGTGTAACAGTGGTAGTGTGTGGGCTGGTAGGATAGATGAGGGTGGGTGGTATCACAAGTTGATGAGTTATGAGGAAACTCCTAGACACAGAGAAAGACTCAGACATGAAGCTTTTAGGGAAACTCAACTAATGGGTCTCTTGTTTTGTATTTGTAGTAAAATGAAAAAAAAAAACTCTAATAAAGCACCTTTCACACTATGTTGTAATTATCTGTTTGAGTTTGTCTCCCTTAGTAGTGTGTGAAGTTCACAAAGTTAGGTAACATATCTAATATTTTTACCCAGTATTTAGTGCCTGACACTTATTAGATCATCAATAATTTATTAAACCAATAAAACAAATGAGTGCCAGCAGAGCCTTCTTATAATGTGTATTGGAAAAACATATGGGTGTGGTTTTACTTATATAATTTTATAAGCATATATTTTATATAATATACATAGATAGGTGTATTTTTTTTCTTTTGTGCTTAGTAGAATAATGTTCAGTGTGATGGGCAACTTGAACAATTAAATGAAAATAAATTCAAGATTAACCGTCGAAGAGCTTTAAGAGATTTTGAGACTGAGGTAATGAGCCATAAAGGTTAGTAATCCAGTCTTTTTAGTGGTTTTTGGGATATTTATGGACCTATATTTGCTTCCACTCTCTGAAAAAAGAATGGGAAAAATAAACATATTATTCATTGTGAATGACTTCATTAATATAAAGGGGGAATGGACCTTAAAGTCATTTATATATCTTAATGTGATAAAGCTTGAACTATGTTCCATTTTACATATCATGGAAGAAAACAATTCATGACATCATCAAATCAGCTACTCCCCTCCCCAACACACATGCAAAAAGAGCTAAAGGTTTAGGGCATTGTAAGACAGTGTAGAAGATCTGACTAGGATACACCTGCTCCTTAACAGCCTTCTTGTTCTTCAATAAGAAGTTAAGCTTGTTTGAGCATATGTCTTTCAGAACCTGAGAATATGGAGAGGACATATCACGAGAATTTGCCTTATCTCACTTAGGATTTGCAGAGAATAGAGCCCCCATTCTTTATTGCACTAAGACAATGGTTCAGTGGCTTTGGTGCTTTATCTCTTTGTCTCAAGCAAATTTGTTAAGTATTTCCCAAGATGTATTTTCTTATCACATTACATTAGGTAGTTTTTCATTATCAAATAGTTTATTTGAGATTTCATCAAAGTTACAAGTTGCTTATTTTACCCATGTTAGGGATAAGTTGAATGGAATGTTCATTATATACATATTTGGAATCACAACTATACTTTTTGCTGGAATTGTAAATTACTTACGCATTTTCAATAAAATGTAAATATTTTATAATAAGCCTGGGTGTATATTAAGTTTGGGAATTCAACATGATCACTGTCAGTAATTTACAATTTTCATGGTTATTAAATATGACAGGCAGCCCAAACAATTATTTTGCATAGGAGGGACTACTGTGTGGATTTTGTAATCCAGTTCTCTGTAGTTCATAGCTACATAGCTCCCCTATCCACTTCCCCATTGAAAAACTAGTTTCTGAGTCCATTTATTGTCCCTAATTATGTCAATGGTCTATATCGATTTTCCAGCAAGTCATCAAACAAAGGTAAATAGAGACTCTTCTCTACATCTATTTATTCGAAAGCTTTTGAGAGGGCTATTGAAGGGCTTGTTGGGAAAGGTGTTAATGAATTTAAGAGATTTATTTTAGGAAGCTCATATGCATTCATATTCTCAGAACAGGAACATGTAGTATAACTTACATTTTCAACCATGCTAGCATGCTAGCTAGTGCTGTTAGAAAAAATGCTGTGTCGTTCTCAACACTATCTGATCTATCTTTACTATGCACAAATACCTCATAACATTTTTCTAGTAAGCCAGAAGATTAATAAGAAAACTGACTCAGAAGGTGACACCAGGCTCTGGCCTAAAGCACGTCATAAGTTTGATTTTGACAAGTAGGTCTGCAGTAGAAATATGTTAATACAGCACTGAGTCTTAATGGAGGAAGAAAGAAACTTTGGTCTTTTAAAATGTTCTAAGGTTTTCATGTTGTAGAATAATGATTTGTGGTCAAATTGAACAAAGTAGAGGGGTCTTCCTTGGATGCCGACTTGAACCCCCAGGATATTTTTAAGACACAAGGGACATCGTGAAATGATCACTTTAACATAACTTCTTTGTCAAGGGTCCATTTAAGAAGGCAAATTGTGCTATTTTGAGTGGCACATGAAGAAAAGAGTAACTTCGGCATTACCATGGAAGATAAGTGTGTATAAATGCTATGAATAATTTTATTTTTATAGTTCTTTATTTTCTTTCGCTCTTGAAAATAAGTTTATCTTAGAAAGAAACTTCCAATGTTCTTGAAAGTTTTAAATTAAATCTTAAAATTCTGTCCAAACAGCAGTCTTAACACTATAATTTTTGTGTTTTTATATTTAATAGTAGTGAACTAGATGGAAGGAATGGAATTACAATTAACCACCACTACCAAAGCTTGCCATCCCTCAATTAGCTTTGTGTAAAGGGATACTGCTATTTACCAAATATTTCTATTGGAAACGGAGTCCAAATTATCCTTGATCAAAACTTAATTGGTAAGATTTAAAAAGCAAAAACAAGAATAAAGTCAAATTCCCAAATAGGGAATTGATTTCTACTAGAAAGCCAGTATTTTGGGACTTTAAAATGAATTGTGTGTCTAAGGCACTCCTCTCTTTCAATTTGTTGAGCACAGCAGTGTCTGGTGGAAAAAATGTCACCACATCACGTCCATGCCTCCTGTGGTAATCCTTGTGGTAGTCTGAGATGTTCTGCGTACTGAGGGCGCATCTATGTTCAGCCTCGCCACAGCCTTAAGCAATGGGTTGTATTTTATTTCAGAGGACTTCTTTCTCCGGTGAAGTATTTAATAGCTACTTTGGCACCTAGTACTAAAGTAATGTTATTTATTTATCTTTGTATAGTATTTTAGAGAAGTCATTCTCAAAGTGTGGCTCCTGGTCCAGCAGCATCAACATCACCAGGCAACTTGTTAGAATGCAAATTTCTAGGCACCACCCAAGACCTACTGAAGTAGAAACTCTAAAGGTGGGGCACAGCCATCTGTGTTCTAACAAGCCTTCCAGGTAATTCTGAGGCACACTAGAGTTTGACAATACTGCCTTAGAATTTTCAAAGTGCTTTTGTTTTGGTGTTAGGTAGTAGGGTACTGAGTTTGTTTTTCAGAGGAACCTAATGCTTACAGAAGTCAATTGATGTGCTCAAGCTCAGTCAGATCTAAGTAACGGAATTTGGACTTGAGCCATGTTCTTTTTGTTCCAAATCATCCCATTTTTTCCATCCGATACCTGCCACCCTGGCTTGTCAAAATAACTCGATCTACGAACACTGGGGGTTGGGGAACAGACCCAGGCTCCCGCCACACAATGTCAGGATGGGAATATTGTCTGAGTTTTAGGAGTAAGTCGCTTTTTTCTTTTTCTTTTTCTTTTTTTTTTTTTGAGACAGAGGCTCGCTCTATCGCCCAGGCTGGAGTGCAGTGGCGCGATCTTGGCTCACTGCAAGCTCCGCCTCCCGGGTTTACGCCATTCTCCTGCCTCAGCCTCCCAAGTAGCTGGGACTACAGGTGCCTGCCACCACGCCCAGCTAATTTTTTTTTTTTTTTTTTTTTTTTAGTAGAGACGGGGTTTCACCGTGTTGGCCAGGATGGTCTCGATCTCCTGACCTCGTGATCCGCCCACCTCAACCTCCCAAAGTGCTGGGATTACAGGCGCAAGCCACCGCACCTGGCTGATAATAGATATATTTTGAAATGTGAAATAATTAATTCCTGTGTCGAAGTACTGAGAATCTGTGACTTTAAAAAAATCAGACAAGCCCTGTAGAAACTTAGAGAGCCATCCACAAGACTGCCCTCACTTCTGACAACAACTCCAGAGTTCAGGGCTTCCTAAGACCACATTCAGTTTTGAGAGTTCACTAGAAGGACTCAGAACTCACTGAAAACTGTTTTACTCACATTTACAGTTTATTACAGGGAAAGGATACAGACACAAATCACCCAGGGGAAGAGATGCATGGGGCAGAATCCAAGAAGGTTCCAAACCAGGAGCTTTCAGTTACCCTTCCTCACGGAGTCATGGACAGCGCTGCTTTTCTGGCAATGACATGTGACAATACACAGTGAGTACTGCCAACCGGGGAGTTTACCTGAGCTTTGTGTTCATACTTTTTAGTGGGGCCCAATCATGTAGCTGACTGCCTGAGTGTCTGGCCTTTAGTCTTCAGCCTCTTTGGAGGCAGAGTGGTTACTACATGGCAGAAAGCCCCTATCATAAGTCATGTTGTTAGAATGTCTGGTGTGACCTAAAGCCCCCAGGTAAGCAAAGCCACTCTTCCTAGAGACCACCTCCCAGGAGACAAGGGCAAAGGCCAGACCTCTCTTTGGGTAAGGTTAATTCTTTTATACACACTCTGAAATTTAACTAGCTTAAGTGACTGAATCTTATCCTTTTCTTTGTCTCACTCCCTGTTAAGGAGGGATGTTGCTTCTGACCATGCAGGGAGTATCACAAAATGTGTGTTTATTGCCTCATCTTAAATAGTTATCACATTTTGATGATAATTTGCAATGTTTTATCAGTAAGGAAATGGTGAAGTGTGGCAGCTTGGGTTCAGCTTTTAGGCACACGTTCAAATGTAAGTTAAGTGTTCTGGCTCTTGTGCAGAAATTGGTGGCCCAACAGTCATTAACCCCAGAGCTTCTCTTTGCTTTCCATACATTACACTGGCTTTGCCCTTAAACATCAACATTGCTTCCTTCCCCCCTCCCCCCACAATGATTATCTCCCACCTTCTCTGCTCTCCCAACCACTGGTTTAATCAACACATATTGATTAGAAAATAATGCATCCAAATAATTTGTATTTTCTTTTTGGTCAAAATGGGCTTGGTTAACAAATTTACTTGAAATTATTAGTGTTGACTTATCAGAATGGAAAGGTTTTGCCTTACCTGGTTTCACTCACTCATTTATTCAGAGTTTATTAATTTCCTGTGATGTACCAGGTACTGATATGCACACAAATATGCATGCACTATATCTCCTCCTTACAGTAGGGAGCTTTGTAAACTACACATGACCTCTTTTCATTTTCTGCTCTCCATCTTCTCGTTCTGTTAGTCTTCTGGAGTGGGTAGAAGTGACGGGAAGGTGAATGTAAAGACACAAAGAGGTCCCTAAATGATCTGTTCAGCTCCTTTTCAACTACCATTAAGAACTGCTGTTAGAAGTTTACAATGTAAAGGAAGAGACAGAGAAGATAATCACAACCTTCCAGGTGAAATACTAATAGAGGTATGTTACTAAATACATTACAACGTTTGACTATTGTTAGAGTTAGAGAAGCAAGGTAGAGGAATGGATTCTCTGTTGGATTCCCCAGTAGGTGACAGATTTTCAGAAAAACTAGTTTAAAAGAGAATTGAAAGTATGTGTGTGGGGGAAGATCTATTCAGTTAGTTTTAAAGCTTATTTGTTTTTGGTCCTATGAGTTGATGCTTGTCCAACACAAGTCATAGGTAGTATTCATGATTAAATTGATTGATGAGTTACTGATAGGGATGGGTATTCTAACCATGGACTCACATTTAGATTCAAAGGAGAATAAAGTTAGGTAGCTTTACAATAGTAGAAATTTTAAAAATGCAGTCATTAATTACGTAACGCCACACAAAGGCATTTTACTGTAAGCAAAAAAATAAGCCTTTTCTTTTTCATTAAAAAGAAATCTATATAGATGTAGCCTGGAGAGGAGGAAAGTGTCAGTTTTCACATTTAAGGATTTGTACTTTATGAGCCTTGATATGTTAATGCCTCCTTTGGGGTTCTTTCGGATGAGCACATTGCACAGGTGGCCCGCTGAATTTATAGACACAATAACTGAACTGGAGAAAAAAGAGGCCAGAGCATTTGTGGCACATTGGATACAGCTGGCTTGGCTCCTTAAGAGCCGACATGAGTTTTATGTGACAGAGCCACTTACTGAGTCAAGAGACGCTCCTTTTCCTGGGATCCCGACCTCCTGCTTTTTTCTCTTCCCTCCCTTTAGTATAGACCAAGGCAAGCTCTCAGAGCTGCTTTGTCAAACTGTGAAATGAGGAAATTAATTTATCATAATTTATAATGTTCTGAAGGTCTTTGAAATGAACATCTGTTAAATGCAACTTCTCTTTGTAATATGCTAAAACTTGGGTGAGTTAAACAATTAAGGGACTGGGAAACTTGAAAATATTGAAGTGTCTGTGTCTGAAAAAAGTTTATGCCAGAGAACTGGCTTTTGTAAATTAAAGTGGTTATTTTATCATCAAATTATAAACACTGCATATACACTTGCCATATTTGTCAGGGTGGGTATTAGGTGTTTGACTGGAATTTCCTCAAGATTATTGGTATAGTCATTGCCAAACATTGTTGAAAATAAAAAAGGAAAATGATTTCTCTGTCTCTGTCTTTCTCTCTCTCTCTCTCTCTCCACACACACACACACACACACACACACACACAAACACACACACACACACGATATTAAACTTAAAAGATGCAGAGTTCGTTATTAACAAATACTTCTACAGATTCAAGGTGTTCCCCTGCCGGTTTCAACTAATACTGTAGCAAAAATGGAGGCCCTTTTCAGCACCACTATCTCAAGTAAGGGGTATACGTCCTGGAGAGATAGGAAAAGAGAGATGAAAGCATGAGAGAAATGGTAAAAGTTAGAGACGGTGTGATTTATAAAGCAAGAGTCAATGAGGAATAGGGCATGATAGAGAGAAAAGAGGAAAAAATATTGTTTTCCTTACCTTTGCATATTATTTATGGGCAAGACATTATTTTTAGTTTTTCCTCTATTATTTCCCCCTGGGTTCAAACTTGTAGCCAGACTCTGTGCCTTCAGGGGAAGTTGACTTAGAGGGCAAAATGTAGAAGTTATTTGCAAGCTGTCTGTATTTATGGATTTTGTTTTCTAGAAGCTTGAACACTGAGGAGAGAGGCTGGAGTGCAGGCATTACTTGAGGCTAGGTGGCCCTGGAAGCCATGAGCTCCCCACGGGGAGGTTAAAAGTCCTTAGAAGGGAATGTCCAAGAGGTTGGCCCTGGACGCTGGTCCTGAGCCTCAGGTTTCCAGCCTTAGCCAAGACTCCCTTGTGCCACCTCTGGTACACAGCGGGATTTCAGGGCCTGACGTGAGCTTGGACAAAGGTTATCTCTGTATGAAGCCATTCAGAGAGAAGTCCAGAAGAGACTTCTTAAAGTACTGGCATTATGCTATACTGTATTACCTTTGTAATACCCACATGGAGTACGGGAAAAAAATTCCCTGCCTTCCCATGGGATGGGGCTCCAACTAGGGTTTGTAGTTTCACATTCTTCTCTGCCTGCTACATTTGCTTTGTGGGCTTGAAGTCTCCTTTTTCAATAACTCTTCTGCACTTCCTTGCCCATCTTACCCATTTCTGTTGTCTCATTTCTAGCAGAGAAAAATATTCACAGATATTGTTATGTATATATGTATGTATTCAGTTACTTTTAACTTCATCTATTCCCACAAAGGACTTTAGATAATGTAGGAAATTTGCTTAGAAATATTATCAATATAATAATAGTATCCTTTCCACATTGAACAATCAAACATAGGTATAAAGAATTGTGAACCAATGGATTTGAGACAAGAGCTAAATTTAAATTTATCCATTGTTTAAGACAAAAGGCCTATTAAAATCTTAAAAATATACAAAAGGCTGTGGGTTGGCTATTTGATATTTTCATGAGCCTATATAGTGTAGTAGCTAATGAACTTGGGGTCTGAGGTCAGACATACCTGAGATTCAGTTCCAGCTTTTCTTAATTCTAACTGTACAATATTGGGCAAGTTTATTTATTTTTTTTTATCTGCTCTACAGGGTTGTTGTGAGGATTGACTGTAAATACGGGTAAAGCATTGAAGAGTGGCTAGAACAGACTTAGTGTTTAATGTTTAATAATACTATTTAGTATGCTTGCTACTAAAGGGTCCTGCTTTCAAAAATTTAGGATACGCACATGTGAGGCAAACAATTGTTATGCTCATAGCAAGTCATGATCCTGGGTTCCTTTCAGTTAGACTCCTAAGAATCTCTAGCAGAACACATTTTAGTATTATTACTGTGTGTACTCAGAAAAATAATCCTATATATACTTCTTTGATATGTTTCTATAATTCAAATTATCTATTACTTCAGATTGGTATTTCTCTCACCTACAATGAAAAATGAGATATTTTTATAGAGGAAAAACACATCAGCATGACATGTTTTGGCTTGCTTTATCTAAAAGTAGTAGTGAATTGCACTAAATTATTAACATAGTTTTTCTAGTTTTCACTGTTGGTTTTGTGTAGTGTGTGTGTGTTTGCCTGTGTACTGTGCACGTGCACCATATTCATGCACTTAAAGCAACCTGAAGTTATTTAACCTCAACAGTTTAATTGATGTTGAGGTTATCACACTGGCCTCATAAGCACTGTGCTTCATTTAAAGAGCTAGTCAATACAGACTAAATGTACAAAATGACACGACTAGATAAAGCGTTTTCAAAGCATTGTGTGCAATACATGCCATATGCTGGTAGAAATCATTTTTCTTAAGGGGTATTCTATAAAGGATAGTGCTTACTTGCTCTGCATTTTTAAAAATTTTTTAAAATATAGCCTTGATTTGAGTAATAAAATAACTTCTACTTCTTTCAGATGTTTATTTGACATAGATATTTTACTTGGGAATGTATTATAGCCCATAAAAAGGATTAGCTAAGAATAACTGAACCTGTACAATGAAGTGAGAAATATGTACTGTTAATTACCTGTTAATTTAATATGATCATATAGCCCACAAATACATAGAATGAATACGTTAGTTAGATGGTCTTTCCTCTCTGAAAATGGGTGGAAACCTTGGCTGAATTTGTCTGGCAATATTGTCTCTTAATTGACTGGTCTGCATTGGAATGTTTGTTTCCTTACATAATAATTTAATGCAATTTGTAGAGAATTCTGTTTCTCCTTCTGCAAGCGGTCAAAGTTCTGTCTTTCAGGTTCTCTTTTTTCATCTTGTTATTTTCCAGATCTAGGCATATACTAGGCTGTAACGAGATTTGCTCTGAGGACACATGCTGTCTGTGAAACATCTTCTGCTTCACTCTGGGAAGAATGATTGAATTTCTTTAGCCACAGTTTTGTTTTCTGTCTCAAGGCGTTCACTGCCAAGGTAGAAGGGATTCAGCATGTTCTAGGTCAGGTTTTTACTGAAAAAGATTTTTATGTCTTTCTTGAAAAAGTCATAAAAGGAAAAAGAAAAGAGAATGGATGGTCACAAACTAAATGGTTCAGTTGCGAACGTTGCCTCAAATATTTCCTTAAGGCTCATTAAGAGGAGATTTTTCGGCAGTAGAATGAGTGAGTCAGAAAGGTTAATATCTGGTAGATTTTTAATAGGGTTTTACTAACCTAGATAATACATTATCCTATTAGTAGAAATATCTAATTGCAAAGAATAATTCATTGGTCGGCCTTGCTTACAAAAGAGAGTTTAGTTATTGAGCTAGTATAATAGGCTTCTCTGACATCTAAGAATTTATTGCAAAACAGTTAAAACTATATGTACAGACTTGACTAGAAGGGTGGTCATCTTAGTGTTGTGTGTATTAATAGTAGACAACAGGCTGGGCATGGTGGCTCATGCCTGTAATCCCAGCACTTTGGGAGACCAAGGTGGGTGGATCACTTGAGGTCAGGAGTTCGAGACCAGTCTGGCCAACATGGTGAAACCCCAACTCTACTAAAAATAAAAATAAAAATAATAAAAAATGGGCTGGGCATGGTGGCGGGTGGCTGTAATCCCAGCTACTTGGGAGGCTGAGGCAGGAGAATCTTTTGAACCTGGGAGGCAGAGGTTGCAGTGAGCCGAGATCGCGCCATTGCACTCCAGCCTGGGTGACAAGAGCAAGACTCCATCTCAAAAAAAAAATAAATAAATAATAGACAACAATGAGAAAAGCTAGGTATGCATTAATTCAAAGTTGTTTAAATAAATTATTGTAACAAGCAAAATGGAACACTCTGAAGTAATTTTAACTGACTTATTGATATGAAAAGACGTTTTTGATATAGTTTTAGTTGGAAAAAAATACAGAATAGTATTGTATTGTAATTTCTATGTTAAAGTTTTAATAAAGTTCCTTAAGTGCTGACAAGATTATGAGTAATTTAAAATTTATTGTATTTGCTTTCTGTATTTTCTAATTATCTGGAATGAACATGTATTGTGATAAGATATATCAGAATGTTATGCACATAGCCCAGTCTTATTAATCAAATATTTCAATTAATAGAAAATTATAAGATAAATTTCATATTGATTAATTTGCTTTTTCACTTAACCCCACACTATAAACATTTTTCCATGACAGTAAATATTTATCAAACATTTTTCTAAAGTTGTTTTCTGTTTTATTGCTTAAAGGTACAACAGTTTAACCAAACTCGTATTGATGAACAATATGATTGTTTTAAGGCTGTAATAAAACTACTATTGTATATACCTCTGCTTACTTGTAGGAGTATTTCATAAGAAAATTTCTAGTAATGGAATTGCTAGACTAGAGAGAATACTAATGTAAAAACACTGTAAACATTACTGTTAAAAATATTAGAATTTTTTCCTGCAAATATTCCTCTTAAATCTATCAATTTATACTCATACCATCAGGGTATGATTGTTGCCATTTTCCTTGCCCCTTGATGTCGTTTGGCTGTGTCCCCAACCCAAATCTCACCTTGAATTGTAATAATCCCCACATGTCAAGGGCAGCACCAGATGGAGATAATTGAATCACGGAGGCAGTTGCCGCCATGCTGTTCTCGTGATAGTGAATGAGTTCTCACGAGATCTCATGGTTTTATAAGGGGGCTATCCCCTTCACTCAGTACTTTTTCTCTCTCCTGCCGCCCTGTGAATGTGAAGGGGTGCCTCCCGCCATGATTGTACGTTTCCTGAGGCCTCTCCAGCCATGCGGGACTGTGAGTCAATTAAACTTCTTTTGTTTATTAATTACCCAGTCTCAGAAATTTCTTCATAGCAGCATGAGAATGGACTAATACGGCCCTCAAAAACACCATTTATTATCTATAGCTGTGCTGTTCAAAATGGAGGCAGTGCCAATGTGTGACTATTTAAACTAATTACAATTAAAATACAATTTAAAAATTAGTTTCTCAGTCTCATTAGTCATACTTCAGGTTGCACAATAACTACCCGTGGCCAGTGGTTACCATAGTAGGCAACATATACAAACTATTTCTATCATTTCAGAAATTTCTATTGCACTGTGCTACGTTGTGCTGTGCAATAGCACAGTTTTAACCCTTGATAATTTGGCAAATGAAAAACATCTTGTCTTAATTTTCATTCCTTTGATTTTATTCAGCTGAGCATCTTTTTAAACATAATTGTTAACTATGTTAACTTTTTAAACATAATTGTTAAGTTTTATGTTAACATAATTGTTAACATAAAATTACCTTTTTTTGTCTTTTGCTCATTTATATACTGTGTAGACTTTATTTTATAAGATCTTTATATTATGGATATTAACCCTTTATAAATATGTTGCACAGTTTTTCTTATTTACTGTTTATCTTTCAAGTATATTTATAGTGTCTTGCAATATAGAAGTTTATGTGGTCAAATGTGTGAAGCTTTTTCTCCGTGGTCTGATTTTAATTTCTATCTAAATAAAACACCACCTAAAGAAGTATAAAAATATTATCTTATATTCCTTTAGTACTTTTAGTTTTTTTATTTATGTAAAATAAATCCATTTGATACAAGGTTCTTTTTGTTTCCACAAGTAACCAGTTTTTTATCATAATTATTGAATAAATTCATTTATTCCCTAATGCTTCAAAATGCCAATTATTGTTTATTGCATTTGTCTCTAGTTCTATTTTTAGATTTATTGATCTGCCTATGTTTGTGCATGCCATATCAACTTTATTACTGTAGCTTTATATTATGTTTTACTAACTGATGGAACAAGTTTTCTAATGTCATTTTTCAAAATGTCAATTATTGCTATATATTCATTCATTCATAAAATCTATAACTGTCAGATTCTATCTCTTCCACCATAAACTATTTTTATTTAAAGTTTATTAAATATACAAATAAATGTATTGTCATTAGATCTGTACAATTTTGAGGTTTTTTCATCTAAGAATATTAAATTATTTTTTAACTTTGAAGAAGTATGTTATAGCTGATGTTCAGTTTCATATTTATAGTTTGTACTCATTTTTGTGCCTATCAAGATCATTTTTTAATTTTGCTTTGGTCTAGTATATAACCCAATTTACTGTTTTGTGTCATTTAAAATTGTTGATGAGGATTCCTTTACATGTTCCGCAAAATAATTGCTAAAATTGCTATCAGGACAGAGCCAAGCATAGAAGACCATACGGTGTGCTAAATTTAATGCCACAGATCTGTGATTAACTTAGGAGAGTTAAGTAATCTCTAATTCTGTTAAATATGAAAACTATATTTTAACATGAAATTACATTATACAAAATTATTTTAAATCATTCAGAAAGGCTTTGAAGACCTTTATTGTGTGCATATTATTATTTTATACGCTAATAATTATTTACTACTTGATACAGTTTGGATGTTTGTCCCCTCCAAATCTCATGTTGAATTGAAATCCCCAGTGTTGGGGGTGGGGCCTGGTGGGAGGTGTTTGGATCATGGGGGTGGATTCCTCATGGATGTCTTGGTGCTGTCCTAGTGATTGTGATGGTTTTCACAATGTCTGGTTGTTCAAAAGTGTGTGGCAACTTCCCCCTCACTCTCTCTTGCTCCTGCTCTCACTATGTGATATTCCTGCTCCCGCTTCAGCTCTGCCATGATGGTAAGGTTCCTGAGGCCCTTATCAGAAGCAGATGCTGGAGCCATGCTGGTACAGCCTGCAGAAACTGAGCCAATTAAACTTCTTTTCTTTATAAACTACCCAGCCTCAAACATTTCTTTGTAGCAACTCAAGAACAGCCTAACACACCATTCGCATATGCAAGTATTGATTACTGAATTTGATGATTAGCAGAATGCCTGATAACCAGGCTTTCCATAATAAATACAACATGAAATATCACTTATTCCTTAACAAATTCTGTATTTCTCTGCTTTCTTTTCAAGAGCTCACCCTTCCTCAAACGCTCAAATCAAATCCTTCCATGCGTTCATTTCTGCTGGAACATTTTGCCCAATATTTGGTTTAGTTGCTGAGACAATGAAAGTTAACTCGGACTACCTATAGGGGCCTTAAGTCTTGCCACAAAGAAGGGGTAAGAAATCACTCTGCTGCCTTCTTCCTTGAATCTGGTGTTTAGTGGGTGAACTCTGATAGGAAAATAGCTTGTCTTTTTCTCAGCCAACTCCATATGGATCCCATGATTACTAGTTTGAAGTCCAAGTATCATCCAAGATGAAATCT